>NC_000003.12:88797878-89100909 GCF_000001405.40 Homo sapiens | reverse complement strand
AACTATTTAGATAACACTACATTACTCTAAATCTCTTTCTTCTTTAAGGATGTCATAACAGATGCTATCTTTATGGCTTTATGTAGTCAAGACTACACCATCTTTTCTGTAGACTCTTATTTCACCTTTATCTAAATCACTCTTAGAAGCATTTCATCATTTACTGATCTGCATTGTCAGTTAACTGTTTCAAGTGTATGGATTTCCTTCCCAATATTTTAAGTTCTTTAACAACAAAATAAATGACCTAACATAATCCAGAAAAGTGAAAACATTATTCAGCACAAGAATGTAAAATAACCTATTTCATTTTGTTTCAGATATGTTAAATGGGTGATAATATAGTGGGATGATAATTTCTTGAGATATATATTAAAAGACCAAATTTCAACTATCCAAGAAGATATATACAGCTTAACAAACATGAGAATACCATTGTTAAACCCATGATTTAATACAAAATGAATTTGTGTTTGCAAATATTAAGAAATTTATCTAAAGATGAAAAACTAATGTCCTTTTATTTATCAATTAATTTTAAATATCAAATGACATTTTCATTCCTTAATGTATTGTTATGTGGTTCAGTAAAACAAGCAATGGCAATATGGCCTATTGATTGAAGGGAATTTTTAAAAGGATGTCATAACAGATGCTATGTTTATGGCTCAGATCAAAGTAAGAGGACATCCAAAATAGTTTTCTACATAAAGCAAAAGGTGATAAAGGATTATTACATGCTCTGTGGAAGAATTTTGAGAACACGTGACTTCAATTTTGTTTCTGAACTATCTCACAAGCTTGAACATAAAATAGAATGACTCAATACAGAAAAATTAACAGATTATGTACTTGTCTAACCATAGTCATCAATTCAGTTGGGAACTGGAAAAATAATCCTTATTAAGTCATCGAGGCCTTATATTCAACAGCGTCAAACATTTGTGATTTTTCACGGATGCTCTGGTTTCCGCAAGTGTCCAAATAACCTCACCTGCTTTTCCAATTTGTCTCCTAGACTATGCTGTGGGTCAGTGATCCCTATTATGTCACATCAATACAGTGGTTAAATAATGATAAATAATTTAAAGTGTGGCAGGTAGTCCACATCTTAATGTCAATCATCTTTATCCATGCAATATTTCCCAAGTTAAATGGAAGCTATTTCCGTTTCTAACTCTGGGTTTTTACTATCCAAATATGGTTTATTTACACACAAAATTACAGGTTTTACAAAGATGATTGAAACTCAGAATTAACTCAGTTTGAAAAATAAATCAAAGTAAGGGAGATTGCACCTAAAATACTTAAAAATAATTACAAATACAGTGATACAGTTTTCTAGAAAAATGAGTATGCCCTCATTCAATTTTTAATCATGGCAATGAAGGGATTCAAAATTTTCGTTTTATATTCTTATTTAAGATGCATTTATTTTGCAATTCCTATGATTTAATTAAGCATCTCAAATATTCAGTAATTTTTTTTGAAACATATGTACAAGTAAAGCCTCAACTGAAAACTTGGATGTTTTTCAATTCACCTTAGAGTAAAAAAGGTGGAATACATTTACAAGTCCACATGCAGGAAGTCTGTCTGTTGGGTGGTATCATCACATCTAAACAAATGAAGGAATAGAGTCACATACCAGTCCTCACTTCCCTCGATTTCATGAAAGATTTTTTTATTGTCAAGTCGCCGGCATAGGGCACTGCTATAAGCCGTGCTCTCCACTAGAGGGCTCTAAAGAGGCAGCAGCCTCTGCGGCTGAAGATTAGGGTATTTAGATCTGTTTATTGAGGCGGTTCATTGACATAGAGGCCTTCACAGGAATAAGCACAATTTTATTTTTAGGTTCAGTTTAATTAATTTCCTGATTAGTAGTAATTAAGAAGGGTATGAATGCATGTGTACATCTGTGAGTTTTAACTAATTACATCACCTCGTATTTACCTTATCTGGACTGTATGATTAGTTCATTATAGCCCTGAGGAATCAAGAAAAGGTGTCACATTGTCACATTTGATTTCCTGTTCAGATAAATCTACCCATTTCCACACTAAAGAGTGTTTAGATAAGTGGCACATTTTCTTTATTTTTAAATCTTTCTTCTTTATATGCAGTGTTTCCTCATTTAATTTCCCCATGAAAATGTTCATGAGAATGGCAGGAGTGTAAGATTTAACGTATATTCCAGATATTTCCTAAAAAAAAAAAAAAAAGTGTCTCTGTAAAATTTGCAGTAAAAGGTAAGGAAATATGATAAAATTGACATTTAAAAAACAGGATCACTACAATGAATAGTTGTCTTAAGAAGTCCCTTTAGTGTCTGGGGCAGAGGGAAGACAGGGGCTCGCCTTCACAAAGGTATTGTGGAAAGCAACAACTATAGAAAAAACTGAATTATTTTTAGCACTTTTATTTAAAGGTATAAGCTTCAAGGAAGATCAAGAGAAAAATGGATAGACCAAATGTCCTAAACCTTTTTGGGCAGCAGCATACCTGACATTCCTGTGGAATGTGTCTTGCTCCCTTCAGTAAAAGTGATGTACCCTAGTGTGATTTTCAGAAGAGACATGATGCACTGTTTGAATAGTGCATAAAAAATCTTTGTAATATGAGAACACTTGGACACAGGAAGGGGAACATCACACACCGGGGCCTGTTGTAGGGTGGGGGAGGGGGGAGGGATAGCATTAGGAGATATACCTAATGTAAATGACGAGTTAATGGGTGCAGCACACCAACATGTCACATGTATATATATGTAACAAACCTGCACGTTGTGCACATGTACCCTAGAACTTTAATAATAATAATAAATATATATATATATATATATATATAAAATCTTTGTAAGGATGATCTTCTTTGGAGAAGAACATGCCTAATGTAGAAAAAATAAATCTATATTCTGTATCTACTATAAAAACTTGCAGTCATCTATTTTTAATGTTCATCAGAAGCATAACTTCTACAGTATCTAACAATGTTATTGTTTAACAATATTGTAAGTCAGCATTATATGTCATGGGTTGCTGGTTATCCTTCATTTATGGAGTAATATGCCAAACATAAGAAAAACAATGTTGTATTATGATGAGAGCAGTGAAGTGCAGAATACTATTTTGTTAGAAATATAAGGATAACTCATGAATGCTAAGTAGCCTTACAGACCACCTGTGACCAAATTCTGATCCTGCCAAAGAATGTCTTCATCCAAACACTCTGGAATTAAGTGCCAGGGGAGCAGTGATTGTGGTCTGCTTTGCTCACTGTTGTATTCCCAGCATCTAGAACTGTGTCTGGCACATAGTAGGTCTATAATCAATATTGGGTGAATGAGTGAAAATGTAATTATTATTTATGATAATAAAGTTTTATTTTTTATAGTTATGTTTTGTCTTCTTTTGGTTTAATTTTACACCAGATTTCAACACCCTACCTATTCACTTACTTCTTTAATTTTCCCTTTCAAACAGTTTAACATAGCCCAGAAAATTTAGCAAAATAAGTTAATCACATAGTAATGTGTTAATAATAATTATTCAATTATATTTCAATAAATTAATACATTTCTTGCATTTTGATGAAAGATTAAAGCAGAAATCATATACTCTCCTTTAAAACATAGACAACTGGTTGACCAAACAATGTTAAGGGACTGTTTACATAAACTATTGACCCTAGAGAGAAATAGTCAAAAATTATCCTCAGGGTAATCAATAAATAAATGACAAAATATTTCTGTTTGTTGTTTTAATTTATTTAACAAACTTTATGTTAACTTATTTATCATTCATAATAAATTGATTTTATATAAAGAAATTTAAAGAGTGAAGAAAGCGAAACAAAATTACAATTGAACAAAATAATGTAAATTATTTTCAATGTGTAAGATTATTACATCTCTTTAGTTTTAGTTTTTGAAATTTAAAATCCTTAAAAAGCAATATTTTATTTTGTGGATTTTTTTTCCCAGAACAAGAAGGAGGACATTCTTATACTACTAAGCTTCCAGCAAATCAAATCACACAGACAGAGAGCCTAGGCCACATGCTTGCATAAATAATAAAGGAGTTAATGGTTTTATATGAACATTTTAAATGGCTCCAGAAATAATCATTATATGCAGACAAATTTCAATTTTTTGACTTCCTTCACAAAAGCTATTTAATGGGGAAGGAGTGAATAAAGGGACTACAGAGGTTTTTGAGGGCAGAGAAAATACTGCATGATATTATAATGATAGCTGTGTATCACTATAAATGTGTCCAAACCCATAGAATATACCCTATTGTAAACTATGGACTTTGGGTGAAGTGATGTGTGGATGTAGGTTCATCAGTTGTAACAAGTGTACCACTCTGTTGGGAGGTGCTGATAATGCAGGAGGCTATGCGTGTGTGAGGGCAGGAGGTATATGGGAAATCTCTGTATTTTCCTCTTAATTTTGTTGTACACCTCAAACTGCTCTGAAAAATAAAGTCTTTACTAAATAAACTGCTTAATCTCCACAAGTTTTCATTTCTATTTTTAATTAATTGTGCCACATGTAAGTGGTATTCATTTTAGGAGCATAAATATTCAACAGAGTAGCAATAGTTTTTTAAATAAAGAAAATAACTCAGTGTGCAGGGAAACACATATAATATCTGATTTATAGAGAGAGTCTTGTGTGTAGCTGTGAGACTTAAAGTCCTTATGTGTCCTCAGGACAAGCACATAACAGGGAAAGATAGTGCCACACAGCTCTCTTTATGTGGCTCTACCCATTCATGGGTCAGCTCGTATCTATTATATAGTCTTTTATGAGTTTAATTTGTTCTGCTCATCAATTTAAAATTATCTGAATACCCTTTTACAGCCAATTGCATTTCATCAGTCTTAAAGATTATAGGAAATAATTTAGAAAAAAAGTAATGCATTATTTGTGAGGTAAAAAAGCAAACTAGCCCCTTCATCAACAATTTTATATTCAGTTATTCAGTAACTTATGAATCAACAGGGCTTTGGTTGAAGGAAATATTTGTAGTAGGGCTAAAAACAGAACTTAGCCTGTTTAACAGACAGCTTCTGAACATTAGAGAGGTTTCCCAACTTGGAAAAATGAGTCTTTATTTCCTTGTATGCCTCTATGCTTTAGGGAGCATTGCAGTCCAAAACAAAAAACAGTAAATGATGTTTCAGTAAGACCTACAACTCTGGAGGAGTTCTTCAAAGAAATTTTAGGACTTGGAAATCTGGAAACATCTTTCACCAAGTTCTACTGCAATAAAATAAATAGAAAAAATTAAAATGGGAAAAGAAAAAGGCTGAAGTAAATTATGGTTGTAGAAGATTAATAATATCCCCCAAATTATCCTAACATTGAAAATAAATTCTAATGGCTATTTTTGCTCAATCACGAAGTCTCTAGAAAGCAATAAACTCTTGGATAAGTAGGGTAAATATAATCTTATGTGACAGACACGATGATTCAATCTAGCTGATCAAGATACCCCTTTCTATCACCTTACTCCATGTATGAACATTTAATAACTATTTAGAAATTCCTACATGATCTCATTATTTGTAATTTTTCAAGAGGTCTTCTTAAGAGCAAATTTTTTTATCTGAACTTGCTACCTTATGGAGAATCACAGCTTTCTATATTTTGGGAAGAAGGCTAAAAATGTAGATGTCTGTATTACTGCTTGCTAATGACTTCCAGAGAAAAGCTGGGCAGGGTAATTAAGCAACAATCGGCAGCAGCTAGAACAAGAAATAATGATGAGAGTAAATGTTCAAGCTCAGAACATACAGAAGGCATGGCCTCTTTAAAGCTATTTAGATAACAGGCCACATTTAGAGATTAATAGATGCATTTTATTAGTGATTTATGTGGAGTAATGTTTTCTAATCCTTAGTGATCTTGTATTTTTCTTCTATGCAAATAATGACAGCAAAGGAAAAGTACGTGAAAGTAAAAACCAATGAGATAATACGAAGTTTAACAAACACTGACACTCCACTCCTTGATAGTTATCACCTTAGCATCTTTGACTTAAGCCATATTCCTAAAAATGGTAATTTGGTTTTGAAGAACTACATTTTCTTTAAGAGGTTTTAAATTTTCAGAAATCTAATATGTTAAAATTAAAACTTAAAAAGCATGAATTAAAGGTAGAGATTAAAAGAATACACTGATTCTTAAAATATATTTATTTGCTATTTGGAATTATATTATTAATTAATATCTCTTACTAGATATTTAAAAGCAGCTAACCTGGACCAAATGTATATAATATAAAAAACATTAATTTGGAAAATTGAAAGAGGGTGTATCTATTATTTAGGGGGTTGAACCAGCATATCAGATATACATCTTCAAAGATACTTATACCAGAAAATGGAATTCCAAGATATTTCCATGGGGAAAACTGTAATTTACATATTCCACTTACCTATTTTTGTGGAAAGACCAGTGAATGGTAATTTCAAGTGAGGCCTTGCTTCAATTAGAGGGGAAAAAATTACCTTACTAGCAAGATGTTAAAACATATATCATGGAATTAAATATCCAAGACCACCTACTATGTATATATAAAGATCCTATAATCCCTTACTAAAATTATGTGTCTTATCAAAATCAACATTTAATTTTAGACTTGTGAAAACAATAAAATATTAGCTATAATTTCATAGATTTCATCAGCTATAACTTGTCTGCAAAGTTCCATTGTTTAAAAAGATATCTAAAATACTATGAAGACATTGGCATTTTATTTAGTAGGAAATACATACAATTGTCATCATTGATCAGAACCTACAAGCTCACTCCAATCAGAGTAATTTTGTACAGTGAATGAACTCCAAAGACATTTAAGAACAACATGTTTGGTGAAGGGAATGATGATAATCACTTGAATGCAGTGATGGGAATGTCAATATCGACATTTTAAGCAACATGTGAACACACAAAAAAGCTCTTTAGATTTTTGTTCTATAGTGAATATCAAAGATAAATTATTATTTGTCATATTATAAAATTATACCACTAGAAAGAAAAGATGGAGTAATGTAGAGTCTAAAGTGAAAAAGGATTTTTTTATTTCTATTATATTTTACGGGTCCAATTGATTTGAGTATATGGTTGCTGTGGTGACAGTCAGGCCATATACTTTAGATATGATTTTACAGTGATTGCAGTTATCTAATCTAAATAAGAACTTTAAAAAGAAGGTTACATTTTAAATGTAAATATAAATCTTAGTCATCAAATGATAATTTTATAATTTGATATTTCCTGTAATCCAGAAATTAAAAGATGTGCAAGATATGGATTAAAAATTTACACTCACCCAGGCTTTTTGAGTGAAATAAAAACACAAAAGTTCATTTAAAATTAATTCAGTATGGTCCCAAAGACTAATGAGACCTATGCTTTCATAAAAGTAACCAAGTTCTGATAAGTATCTGTCTCAGTTCTGTCCAAACTAGGTGTATGATCTTGAGCAAAAGCCCCTGAGGTCCCAGTGTCTTAATCTTAAAAGTAAGTTTTTATGGCCTATGACTTATACAGTCCTCTTTAACTCTAAAACATTTTTTATATAGAAAGGAAATGGAAAAACAAATATCTTTTAGGGTACTACACCATCATACTTATTTGAAGTAGAAAATTATATAATTGGTTTTAGTATCTCAACAGTAGTATACTTACTTGCCCCTTCAATGTATATGGCCATTATTATGTATTTTGCCTGCTTTTCCTCTTTAAAACCACTTCAAATACTACCAACTTAGTAAGAAATGCCTAAGTTAACTGGTTGCCTGCTACCCATCTGACTCCCAAGAAGCAAGGCAGGCAGCTCATTAGAAGAGCCTCTTTAGAAGAAATAGGATCCAGCTTAGTAATAATGAAATGGGACATAGAAATTCCCTGAGTATTCTCCAATCCTACTACCTTTCTCACTCAACATTTCATAAAAATAGAGCCGTCAGAAATAATACCACACATCTACAACTATCCAATCTTTGACAAACCTCACAAAAACAAGAAATGGGGAAAGGATTCCCTGTTTAATAAAAGGTGCTGGGAAAACTGGCTAGCCATATGTAGAAAGCTGAAACTGGATCCCATCCTTACACCTTATACAAAAATTAATTCAAGATGGATTAAAGACTTAAATGTTAGACCTAAAACCATAAAAACTCTAGAAGAAAACCTAGGCAATACCATTCAGGACAGAGGCATGGGCAAGGACTTCATGTCTAAAACACCAAAAGCAATGCCAACAAAAGCCAAAATTGACAAATGGGATCTAATGAAACTAAAGAGCTTCTGCACAGCAAAAGAAACTAACACAGAGTGAACAGGCAACCTACAGAATGGGAGAAAATTTGTGCAATCTACTCATCTGACAAAGGGCTAATATCCAGAATCTACAAAGAACTCAAACAAATTTACAAGAAAAAAAACCAACAACCCCATCAAAAAGTGGGCAAATGATATGAACAGACACTTCTCAAAAGAAGACATTTATGCAGCCAACAGACACATTAAAAAATGCTCATCATCACTGGCCATCAGAGAAATGCAAATCAAAACCACAATGAGATACCATCTCACACCAGTTAGAATGGCAATCATTAAAAAGTCAGGAAACAGGTGCTGGAGAGGATGTGGAAAAATAGGAACACTTTTACACTGTTGGTGGGACTGTAAACTAGTTCAACCATTGTAGAAGTCAGTGTGGTGATTCCTCAAGGACCTAGAACTAGAAATACCATTTGACCCAGCCATCCCATTACTGGGTATATACCCAAAGAATTATAAATCATGCTGCTATAAAGACACATGCACATGTATGTTTATTGCGGCACTATTCACAATAGCAAAGACTTGGGACCAACCCAAATGTCTATCAATGATAGACTGGATTAAGAAAATGTGGCACATATACACCATGGAATACTATGCAGCCGTAAAAAATGATGAGTTCATGTCCTTTGTAGGGACATGGATGAAGCTGGAAACCATCATTCTCAGCAAACTATCGCAAGGACAAAAAATCAAACATCGCATGTTCTCACTCATAGGTGGGAATTGAACAATGAGAACACATGGACACAGGAAGGGGAACACCACACACCAGGGCCTGTTGTGGGGTGCGGGGAGGGGGAAGGGATAGCATTAGGAGATATACCTAATGTAAATGACGAGTTAATGGGTGCAGCACACCAACATGGCACATGTATACGTATGTAACAAACCTTCACGTTGTGCACATGTACCCTAGAACTTAAAGTATAATTTAAAAAAAAATTAGCCGGGCATGGTGGCATGCGCCTGTAGTCCCAGCTACTCAGGAGGTTGAGGCAGGAGAATCACTTGAAGCCCGGGAGGCAGAGGTTGCAGTGAGCTGAGATTGTGCCACTGCATTCCAGCCTGGGCAACACAGTAAGACCCCATCTAAAAAAAAAAGAAAAATTAAATATTGATTACATTGATGTATATATCATTTTTGGCTCCTAAAATATTGTTTCTAATGATTGTATTCTTAATGTATAGTATGGGTATTCAATAAAGTTTTTGCTATTTAAAAAAATAGTTTTAGAACAAAATACACATTTCTTCTATATATGCAATGTTTAGGATTTTCCAAAATTAGAAAAAACTTCCTGAAAGAGATGTATTTTCTTTTTGTTTGTTGTTTTGCATGTATAGATTTACAGTTTTGGTCCACCTAGACAAACTAACATCCATTAGCTATTCATTTTATCACATTTAAATATATATTACCAACATTTTAAAATCATTTTTACGGTTATATGAACATTTAGTCCTGTGGACATACTATACTTTGACAATTTATTTATTTCCATTTTAAAATTAGCCTTCATTTACTTATAATTTTCACACAATTGCATCCATTTAAACTGTAAGTGACTTGAATTTTGATAGATATGTACACTCATGAAACCCCCACTACAATCAGGATGCAGAAAGTTTCCATTGTGACGGGAAGTTTTCTTATGTCTGTTTACAATCCCAGGCAACCACTGTTACTATCCATTAGCTTGGTTTTTCCAGACTTTTAATTGAACAAAATCTTATAGTATATATTATTGTGTATTTTTGCATGCAGAAACACGAATTTCAGATTCATTCATGTTGTTGGTACATATCAGGAGTTCATTTCTTTGTATTGCTGAGAAATGTTCCATTGTAGAAATATAGCATATTTTTCACCTCTGGATGATATTTCACATTTTTTCTAGTTTTTGCGTTTTATGAATAAAAGTGCTACAGAAATTCACATACAAGCATTTTTGTAAATATTTATTTTCATTCTTATTGGGTAAATACCAAGAAATGAAATGGCTAGATTATACACTAATTGTATTAATGCTTTAAATATATATTTTTTAATTTTGATTTTGTAATAGCAGTGTAGTATGCAAAAGCCAGTTGTTCCAACTCTTGTACTCTTGTCTATATTTGACCTTTTAATTTTAGCCATTCTATTGGTGAATAGTGGTGTCTCATTTTGGTTTTCATTTGCATTTTACCTTATTATTAATAGTGTCGTACAATTTTTCATGTGCTGTTCATCATTTGTATAGCTTTCTTTGTGATAGCCTCTCAAAGCTTTCACTTTATTTTTGAATTGGTTGTCTGCATATTATTGCATCAGAAAGATTAATTATATTTTCTGAATATAATTTTTTGTAAGATAAATATATTAGGAACATTTTCTTTCATCCTTTGGTTTACCTCTTTATTGTTCTAATGTTGTGTTTTAAGACATAAGTTTTTCATTTTGATAAAGTCCAGTTTACATATTTTTGCATGTATTGTGCTTTTGTGTCCTATCTAAGCAATCTTTGTTTTAAAGTGTCAAAGTGTTCTTTTTTTTTTCCTGGGTTTTTGAAATTCTAGTTTTTTCTGTTTAAATATCTGATTAAAGCTAATTTTTACGTATGGTGTGAAGTAAAATGTTCACTTTTTTCCCAATATGGATATTCAGTTGTTTTAGCACTACTTGTTGAAAAGTCTTTCTTTTGTTGTCATCTTTGGTGTAGCATACATTATTATTTCATTTCTTTTTATTGACTAATAATATTCTGTTCTAGTATATATTGCATTTTATTTATCAATTCTTCTGCTGGCATAAACACTGGGGTTGGTTCCACTTTTTGGCTATTAGGAATGATGCTGCTAGAAACATTTATGTACAAGTTTTTCTGCAGATTTATATTTTCATTCCCTTTGGATATGTACTTAGAAGTGAAGTTGCTGGGCCGTATCATAACCCAATGATTAACTTTTTGAGGAACTGAAAAACATTTTCCAAAGATGCTACATCATTTTACATATTTTATCAACAATTGATGAGAGTTTGAGTTTCTCTACATCCTCCCCAGGATTTATTATTGTTTGTCTTTTTTATTGCAGCCATCGTAGCATAGCCCTCAATGTGTACTTCCACTTCCATTACTTATTTTTGAGAAATCATGGGCTTCTAAGACTTTTATAGTTTTGGCTATACATGTGGATCTGTTATTATTTTAGGCGGGGGTTATGGTATAAGGAGGAGACCCAACTTAATTCTTTTGCATATGGATAACCAGTTGTCCTAATATCATTTGTTGAAAAGACTATATTTTCTCTATTTGTTGTTTTGGCGTCATCTCAAAATCATCTTATTTTAATTTTAAACTTTTAAATTTTAAATTTTTGATTTTTGATGGTTATATAATAGTTGTACATATTTATGGGATGCATGTGTTATTTCGCTAAAAAATACCGTGTGTAATAAAAAAGTCAGGGTAATTGAGATATTCTACCTTAAAAATGTATTATTTCTTTGTGTTGGGAACATTCCAAATCTGACCCTGTAGTCATTTTGAAATATACAACAGATTATTGTAAACCATAGTCACCCTATTATCTATCAAACACTAGGTCTTATTTCTTTTATCAAACTGTGTTTGTGCTCATTAACCAACCCTTTATATACCCCGTCCTCACTGCTCTACTGAGCTTCTGGTAATCATCATTCTACTCGCTACCTCCATGAGATCAATTTTTTAAGCTATCATGTATGAGTGAGAACATGCGATATTTGTCTTTCTGTGCCTGGCTTATTTCACTTAACATAATAGCCTCTAGTTCTACCCATGTTATTGTAAATTACAGAATTTCATTATTTTTTATGACTCAGTAATATTTTATTGTATAGATATCACATTTTATTTACCCATTCATCTGTTGATGGACCCTTAAGTCGCTTCCATATCTTGGCTATTGTTAATAGATTAAAAAAATCATTTGATACCAATAGTCAAGGTGTTGGCTACCATGATATACCCTCTATTATCATCCTCTTCCTTCAACTTAAAGCCAAAAATAACATCCACTTCAAGAAAAGCAGTCATATGAGATCCCAGAAAACACAGTGTCTTTCATCTTTATATATATCTCCTGTAATTAGATATCATATCTTTAGAAGAAATAAAATGAACAAATGAAAAATAAATGACTCCTATAGCTAATTCAAGTCTCTATTTTTACAAAGCTGAGGATGGTTAGAACATTTGACATTCCCACTAATTTTTGAGCTCCACTCAGTACAAACCAATTTTTAAAAGTGTTAGATTACAGTTTTCTTGAATCATTACTCAAGCTACTTTATTTATTTCCCTCACTTTTTCAACCCCAAATCTGCAAAAATAAAATTTGTTACTTGGTGAACAGCAGCTCAGTTCTGATGTGACAGGAATAGAAATTCTATGTCCCCTTTCCAAAGATGATCTTTTTTAAAAAAATTATATCACTGTAATTTATATATATATAAATTTGCCTGTTGGAGATTTTGGCTGGATACAGAGTGTTTCCCCAGAGAAAAATATGGGATTTAGTAAGCTTTCTACAATGGCCTTCAGCTAAAACATAAAAGATCCAAGAGAAAGTACCATATTTTTTAAAAAAGCTTTCTTTTCTTCACACTGCAATTTTCGAAGAAGAACATTTTAAATCCCAATAGGAAACAAACAAACAAATGAAACTAAACACTGTCTGTATGTCATTCTATGATTTTGCAGCAAAAGGGGTAAGAATGGTGGTAAGTCTTCCTTTCTTTTCTTGTTATTATATCAGAGAGAAAGTCCATTTTATCTTAAAGAGAACGGAATCTTAGAAATATAGTTGCCATCTTAGTTGAAATGACCTGATCTCTAAAAGCCTGCCATTTATCACCTAAGGAATGTTTGAAGATTTACAGTAAAATATGCTTTTAAAGTATGAAAGATGTGCAATATTGATTGTGGTGGGAACAGCAAAAAGTTTGCATTTTAAGCAACTTGGTCTGCCTTGAACATCAGCAGATGTCATCGATGAATTCCAAATAGAAACACTGAGATTTATCCTCTTCTATGCCCTTCTCTCAACTAACATTACCCATTCACTCAGGAGCACTTATGTTCCTGGAACAATAACAACAAAAAGAAAGAGCTCTTGAAATGCAACGAGGAAGGATATTTCTGCCCAGGGAGGAAGAAATCCTTCACATAACTATTTTTTATGAAGCATATTCTTAAAGACTTTATAATGTCTGCTTTAATACTACCAGGGAATATTTTGATGCAAAAAATCCACTGAGGTTTAAATAAAACAATTTTTAAGGTAACTCCCAGTATCCAAATATTGATCTTGATGACAATGTCATTTGCTATTTTCAACAAAATTAAAATAATGTAGTTTCTCATGGTGATCATAAAAAGTTTGATACAAATACTAAATTTAGTGCCAATTCTAATATAGTATATCCAAGAAGGCATATGGCACAACATTTTTTAATTTAAGTAAGCTTAACAAATGCACAATACAAACAGCTTTAGAGCACAAATTCATGAAAATTCACAACTGTGAATACTTAGGTAAGATAATGTAACAACCCAAAATGGAAACCTCTCAGACATTATAATTACGAAAATATAAATTCAGAATTATGTATTAGTATTTCATGTTGTGTCTGAAATATTGGTTTAAAAATGAAACTCTAGCAGCAGCTATAATTATAATTCTTCACAGAAACAATAACATTTTAAAGAATTTTAAGATACATGACCTGAAATAAAGAATTTATGTAGAATTTTTTTGTGGTAGTGTTAATAATGGAAAATAAAAATTGAAGAAATTCCAAATAGAACAATGGTTAAATAAATACCATATGACAGAGTATTATATAGCTATTAGAAATTTATAATGTTCTAAAGAGCATTCAATTAGTTGCCAAATTGCTAATGATAGAAAATGTGAAAAAAAATCAAACTGTAGAATTAAACATAGTATTAGTTGGAATACTTATAAATATATGGAGATAAATAGGTTAAAAAAACACTTTTAAAATTACCAAGCGATTACACTGGGTTGTAAAATCACAGGTAGTTTTCATGTTCTTTGCTCTATGTTCTCCCTTTCAATATGCATGGATTTCTTTATAGATACAAAAAAAGTGATGTTATCACTGGCTTTCTGATGCCAGAACAGTAAAAAGAAATGCCAACATCTATTCAAGCAGCTGGATTATCAGAGGAGGATAAATATTTTGTAGTTTTTCCCATTAAAGGTTAAATAACAGTTACCATTCTGAACAGATGATGATGGCTTCTGTCAGGAATGAAGTGGAAAATACAGTTTCAAGAGAGAAAGATACTAGATACTTGAAAGTTCACTAGACAATTCTAAGAAAACATAAAAAGCAGGAAATTCATTGGCTATATTAAAGATCTATATACATATACACATGTATATTTAAATACTTATGTACATTTACACAAATATAAACATATATGTATGTACATATATATGCAAGAATCAAGATATGTGTGTATATATATGTGTGTTTGTATGTGTACGTGTGTGTATTAATTTCAGTATAGGACATCCCATATTAGCCTATTTATCTCAGAAAATTAGACTAAACCTGAAGATTTTAGTAGAATAAAGTATTCATTCTAAATGGTACAGGTGGCTTTGTTCTGGAAAGAGTATTACATTAGCAACAATTTGCAAAACTAGATGAAGATGGGGAGAACTCTGCCCTCGGCTCACTTTCAGGAAATGTAGAAGCCGTCTCTTTCCACCCTAGGAAATATGTCTAAAGTCCCCATTCCTGGACCTTCTCAAGCTTCTCCCTTACTTTTTCTGCTGGTCTGTCTCAGAATTCTTGAATTCTATTTCTCAGTTTAAGAATAAATGGTTTCAAATTCATTCCTCGATGTTATTTTTATTTCAATGCATTTATTCCTTTCTTTAGATTCAGAAGGAAGTATTCTACTTTTTTCTGAGATTTATCCCTGACCTGTTGAAATGATTCAATACTCTTCTCCTTTCAGAACATTGCTCCATAGCCTATTTACAACCAATCTCCTTTCAAGGAGTCACCAATCTGCTCCTCCATATTTGTCCTTTCTCCCCAGAGATAGTCTTAAGATTCACTTCAACGAAGAAAATTCTTTATGTTATGAATTCTTTTAAGTACAGCTCCATATCATTCTTCATGCATTTAACAATTAATTATTGAAAAACTAGTATCTGCTAGACACTATTCTAGGTCCTAGAAATATAGCATTGGTCAAAAGAAAGGAAATTCCTGCTCTACTATAGCTTACATTCTGGGGGTGGTAGAGGACAGGGAAGGATACAAAAACATGCATTTTTAATATGTCAAGTTGTAATAAGTATTAAAAAAGGAAGAGCAAGGAAGGATAATTAGTGATAAAAAGGATCAGGTTATTTTTAAATCATGTGAGCACGTATAGTCCATTTGTTAAGATGATGTTTATCAGAAAGAACCAACGGAGTGCATGTGAATAACTGGGGGAATTAACAGAATTCCAAATGAAAAAGCCTGAGACAATGGGAAGTCTTGCATTTTGTTCAAGAAACAGCCAGGATTCCCATGTGGCTACAGCAGTATTAGCTGTAGGGGATCTTGAGGGGAGTGCAGGATATGAGTTCAGAAACTTCCAGATGATGTTGAGGTTTGTAGTCCATGATAAAAACTTCATATTTCATGTGGAGTAAGATTGGAAATGACTGGAGGGCTTAGAGCAGTGGGGTAATGTGATAACTCTTCTCTTTCTGCCAAATTTCTTGAATTCATAATCCACTTCATCATCTCCAATTTACTCCTCTAGTCTTTTCACTGCGTGCTGGCTTCTGCCCTCACTATTCATCTAAGGATAAACTAAAAATTTGCCAATGATTTCTTAAATTGCCACGTTGCCCAGCATTTTACACAATTTGCCATACACTTCTACACACACACACACACACACACACACACACACACACACACGTCCTCTCTCCTTGGCTCTTCTGTTCTTTCTGTGCTTCTGGTCTTTATAGTGTGTGCTAGGACCTCTGTCTAATTACTAAACAGCACCACGTGAAACTCCTACAAACTCCTGTATCTCATATTTTGCAAGTCAAACCTATTTCTTTGCTACAACACCTTTCTTTTTGTGGTCCTCAATTATTGCTACTAGCAGTAATTTATTCTGTACTAAAAGAATCCTAATGCCATATTCAACTTGTTGTTCTTTTCTTGACCATTACACTCTAGTGCTTCCTATTTTATTGGGTGTGATGGTTCCACTGTCTTTTATATCTGTCTTTGATACCTCTCTTTTCCATTTCCAATGTATCTTCTCATACTTTTGGAGGAAATTATTCTTGGTACTCCTATATCCAGAATTTTCTTTCCACTTTCCTCCAGGAGGCAAAAAATTACAATCACACATCCTTCTCTCTAAAATAAAAGTCTAATCACCCATGTCTCTGATCTAAAACTCAGTTGGTTCTCCAGTTCCCAAAGAATAAAGACTGACCCCCTTAGCATGGTAAGCACAGTCCTCAGTGAGGGCTAGCCCCATTTTCCGAAGTTTACACACTTCAACCTGGGCTCAATTCTGGTTGTGAAGCACTACTTGGCCTTTGCCTTTATCTTTCCTCTGGATGAGACTTCCTCATCTCCCCCATCTTTCTCTAACGCATCACTGTTATCTAGTATATTTTACCTGGGATGTCATTTGTGTGTAGATCTTTCTTTTTTTTTTTCAGTTAGAATTTATTACTGCATTTTTTTGACTCGAGGTTATTTATTTATGAAATCATCCTTTCAACTTACATTGTATTCCCAACATCAAATTTATACATGACAGTCTCTGTCGTTTTATTATAAGCATCTTGAGCATCAGAACTCTCTGATTTAGGTAAGCCTAGTGTCTTGGACATGAGAATGAGTTCAGAACTGATTTCTACGTTGAACTGAATTGGGTATACATCTCTAACAATTCAGTTGTATAGGATCTTTTTTAAATAATAGGCATGACGAAAATAAAAAATAGTAAATATATGTTGACTACTGTAATAAATATTACAATTTACTAATAATTCTAATTTTCTTCTTCCAAGAACATGATAGGATTGAAACTTAGCCAATCTCTTGATGACAGACAAGGCTATGTGACATTAATAGTCAGATACATGAATAGAAACGATATATGCCTTTTCCAGGGAGCAAACACTTAAAAGTTGATCTTTAATGTTTTATCTTCTCTTCTTTCTCTCTTGGTGACCTGTAATATTCCAGTTGGTAGATATTCCATCAGCCTGAGTCCTATGATGGAGTAAGAAATAAACTTTTTGTTTTAAGCAACTGAAGCATTGGTGTTTTAACATAGAATAACTAAGCTTATAAAGAGCAATGCAGCTATTTATTATACTTCTTTCAACAAATACAATCACTCTCTGCGTACCACTTCTGGTAAGCATGATGCTTTATAAAAGTTATCTCATTTAGTCCTAAAAGGAGGATGTACCATTTTCCCACATATTAGCAATAAAGATAAAGGGGTACAGAAAAGTGAGACAATTTACTGAAATTCATACAGCTATTAAGTTGGAAAGTCAAAGCTTGTCTGAATTACATTTAATTTAACCACCTTGGAGCACTGAATCCTAAAAATTTATTTTATTAATTCATTCTACACTTAGAATGCACTATAACATAGTACTTAATGGGCCTGCAGTTAGACTCTCTGTATTGAAATCTCAGCTTGCCTCATGTGAAATGTGTGACATTAGGCGAATGACATCTTCTCTCTGGGTTTTTATTTTATCATCTGTAATATGAAGGACAAATAGAAATTACTTCACAGGGTTATTGTAAAGATGAAAACATTTAGTATGATACCTGATATTAATAAGCACTCAATAAAATCTTCTATTATCTTATCACTTATTTTATTCCAGATACTGTGATAAAAATGTCATTACATTAAGCAAATCATTGTCCTAGTTCTCTAAGAGAGGGAGACAAGTAAGCCAATAATTGCAAACTAACATAACACTGTATGAGGAATGCACAAGGTCTTGCAGAATGATCAAGAAGAGACATTCTCATCTCAACCACATGCAGCTTACAGACTCTCATGCTTGGTCCGTTGAGCCAGTGCTGAGCTGTTTCTTTTTATGCTGACGGGTAGCCTCAGAGCAGGAGTGGAATGGAGGAGGTGACATGACAAAATGCCTCCAGCATCACCTGTAAGATTGAGCCAAACTAGCCTGGCCAGGGAGTGCCACGAGGTTGTGAATCAGCTCAGCACATGAAATTTCTCATGAGTGTGGCGAATAAAGTAGAAAATCATCACAAACAAACCGAGGAGGCACTTAGATTAGATCAAACACAATCCCAAGGCATACACCTAGGACTTCTTAATGTTGGCATATTGGTATTGCTCCTGTAGCCTAATTTATTTGACGTTGGAACAGAAGGAAATTTCAGAAGCTATCTAAAGAAAGTTCAATATTTCACAGACTCAGTTGAGTGACTTCACCTCTTTGAGGGCAGAATCCAAGCAAGATGTTATCTTTCCTGATTCTCAGCTATGTGTTCATTGTTCACCTTTGTATACCATACATTGTAAAAATATAAACCATAAATACTTACAAAATAGTTTATAAAGTATTTCTGTAATTACTGTAGCAGTGGGAGATCTGCGAGACAGCTTGTGAAGCAGGCAGGTAAGAACGGGATATAGCACCATCTCTGGATAGCACTATTTCGTCTACAGGCAGCCTGAGAATTCCTCAGCAGTGAGCAGAGAAAGGTGAGAGTGAAGGTTACAAAAAATATCTTTGGGACATACACTATTGTGAAAATCTATTATTTGCTCCATGATGATAAATGTAAAAAGATAATTAAGTGTAAAGAACTCCTCATTGAACAAATGTTTACCAAGCATCTACTCTGTGCACTCAGTCAGGTGCTGCAAAGTGATGATCAAAATATTAGATTTGAACTCTCATGGAGCTCAGATTCTACTGGGGAAAAAGACATCGCAAGTAAATAAATAAAACAGATCTGATAATGTTTTATAGTGTTAGAAGTGAGATAAAGACAAGACAGGGTATTGTGTAAAAAAGTGACTCGGGCCTATTTTGACTGAGTGAATCTGGCCTATAAAGTTAATATTTGAGCAGAGACCTGAAGACCTAGGAGGATGCAAACATGAGACCTAAGGGAAGAGTCTTCCAGGAATAGGTTTAGGAATAATGTGAATACCATAAGAAGAGGACAAATTTAGACTATCTGAAGCCCTGAAAAAAAAGTCAACGTGGCTAAAATATGGTGGGCTTTGGGGAGAGTTGAAGGAGGCAAATTCAGTATGGTAGATAAGGTTGTGACCCCATAGGGATTTATTCTTAGGGTTACAGGCCTAGGATAACAGTGTGAAATTTAGTCTGGGTGAATGTAAAGGCAAGGAAGGGTTTTAAGAAGGGGTTGATATTATTTGACTACGATGTTTTCTTTTTAACCAACTTTACTGACATGTAACTTACATACCATATAGTTTCCCCATTGAAAGCAAGTGCTTCAATGGTTTTTAGCATATTCACCAATTTATGAAACTATTATTTTAATCTAATTGTAGAACATTTTCACACACACACACAAACACAAACACACACACACACACACACACACACGCAAAATTTGCCTTAGGAAGCCATTGATCTATGTTCTATCTCTGTAGATCTGCCTATTCTGGAAATTTCATGGAAATAGTTTATACGATATTTTTTTTGGTAACTGATATCTTTCACTTAGCATAATGTTTTCAAGTTTAGTACATGTTGAACCATATATCAGTATTTCATTCCTCTTTATTGCTGAATAATATTTCATTGTATATGTATAGATATACCAAATGTTGTTTATGTATTCTTCAGTAGTCAGCATTTGAGTCTTTTCTACTTTTTGACTACTATGAATAATGCCACCATGAACATTCATGTACAAGTTTTTATATGGATATATATTTTCACTTCTCTTGGGTAGCTATTTAAAAGTGGAAATGTTGAATCCTATGGTAGCTCTATACTTTGTACTTTCTGTGGAAATTGGTTGGAGTGGCTGGGGCTGCAGGATGCACTTCCAAGATATCTCATTCATTTATCTGGTGTTGAGTACTTCCTGACCCCTCTCTCCTCGTGGCTGGTTTCATTCTCGAGAATCTCTCCACTTGATTTTCTCACAGCATGGTAGTTACTGGAAGTATATTTCCTACATGGCTCATGGCTTTAAAAGGTGGGAAACTGATACAGTGTTACATTTACTTTATCTTATTGGTCAAGGCAGTCACATTCAAATGGATAGAGAAATTGATTTTACCTCCTGATTGGGATATGGAAATGCCACGTTGCAAAAAAATCATGAAAGATAAGTGATATTGATGCAGCCATTTTTGAAAAATACAACCTGTCACAACCAGACAGGAGTTATTGCAGGAATACAGGATAAAAACTGTGGTACATCCAGACAATAGAATATTATTCAATGTTAAAAAGAAATGAACTATTAAGGCACTGAAAGGCATGGAGAAAACTACAGTGCATATTACTAGGTGAAAAAAAAAAACGAGAAAGGCTAACTACAATTTCAAAAATGTGACATTTTGGAAAGGGCAAAGCTACAGAGACATGAGAAGGCTAATGGTTGCCAGGGATAAGATGGAAGAAGGGATGAATAGAGAGAGCACAGAAGATCTCTAGGGCAGTGAAACTACTCTGTAGGATACTATAACAGTAAATGCATGTTATTGTATATTTGTCAAACCCATAAAATGAACACCAAACCTGAACCCTAATATAATCCTTCAACTCTGGGTGAAAATGATGTGTCAACATAGGTTCATCAGTTATAACAAACGTACTACTGTGTTGGGGATGCTGATAACTAAGGAGGCTATGCATGTGTTGGGACAAGGAGAAATGAGAAATCTTTGTACCTTCCTTGCAATTTTGCTGTGAACATAAAACTTCCCCCAAAAATAAATTATTAAAAAAAAACAGCGTAAATATAATGGTGACTTAGACTAGAGTGTTTCTGTGAAAATTAAAAGAAGTAGAGTGACCCAGAATGTTTTAAAGATAGGACTTATATGTGCAATGAACTGTGAGCTACAGTTAAGAGTAGGAGGTACAGGTAAGAGAAGAAGAAAAGATGAACCCCTAGCCATAATGCTTGAGCAACTGTGATAATTGATACAGTTTTTAATGTATCAGGGCACTGTCAGGAGGTCACATTTTAGTTAGTTTAGATTTTTTGGTATATGTTTAGTTAATGTGGCAGCAATCAAATTTAATGTTTTATGTATGCAGTATAATGTGCCCTTTGTATATTCAAGGAGAATCTCCCATAGTCATTTGAACACACGTGCCTGAATTTCAGGAGAAAAATAATGATAGGAGATAGAAGTTTGGTAGTTGTGCCAGTCTTATCCTGTTTATCCTCAGATACACTTGTCAGCCTTCCCTGTTCTGTTCTGCCTCACAGGTGGGCCTAAGTACTGTTGGCCAAGTCTCAGACTGGGTTTGGCCAATGGGAGGCACTAGTGAGAAATTGAAAGGTGAAAGAATGGAGAAGCAAGTATATTTCCCTCAGTCACCCTCTGCCTTGTGTGTCATCAGTGGCTGAATATCCTCTGTGACTCCCACCCCATAACCTGGCTGTAATTCTAGCTTACATCTGTTGAGCCCCTGCATCTAATATTTGATAATTCTATCTCTATTCCTTGAGCCTCTGGTCTAAGAGTATAGCTGTTTGTAACATAATGTTTACCACATTGTCTCTTTTTTTTTTCTTAGCTCTTTAATCTCCTATGTATCAGTTGACTCTACTAAAGTTTTTTTGAATCCTCACAACGGTTTCTTTTTTCTACATTAGACCCTGAATAATAGTAGTTATCAACATGTAGATATTAGTACTTATATATAACATATATAGTGCATACAGATATAGTACTTAAAGCCATGAGAAAGAATAAAATTCATAATACCTGCTCTGTTCACCAGAAAAAGCTCAAAATAAAGCAAAGACTTGTCTTCCTTGTTCAATGATGTATCTCAAGTGCAAATAACACTACCTGAGATATACGAAGAGTCAATAAATGTTTGTTGAGAAAACAAATCTATTAATTAGTTAATTTAATTAAAAGAAACGTTAACATTTTATTTATTTTAAATTATTATTTAATCATAATTTTCACTTGTGAAAGTAAAGATTGTTTAAAATATGTTAAATTCTGAAATACGTTAAATTTATTGTTTTTCTTCTGTGTTCTACTCAGTAACACCGTGTTTCTTATTAATCTCAAGAAAGTAGATTTGATGAACGATGATTAAGATTGTTACAAAAAGAATGCAAAACAAAGAAGAAATAGTGTTCAGCAATTGACATTCTTTTTTTATTGTTTCTTGTATATATATTTTTTCAAAAAATTTTGTATTATACTTTAAGTTCTGGGGTACATGTGCAGAATGTGCAGTTTTGTTACATAGGTATACACATGCCACGGTGGTTTGCTGCACCCATCAACCCGTCAGCTACATTAGGTATTTCTCCTAGTGCTATCCCTCCCCTAGCCCCCCATCCTCTGAGAGGCCCCAGTGTGTGATGTTCCCCTCTCTGGGTCCATGTGTTCTCCTTGTTCAACTCCCACTTATGAGTGAGAACATACAGTGTTTGGTTTTCTTTTCTTGTGATAGTTTGCTGAGAATGATGGTTTCCAGCTTCATCCATATCCCTGAAAAGGACATGACCTCATCCCTTTTTTATGCTGCATAGTATTCCATGGTGTATATGTGCTACATTTTCTTTATCCAGTCTATCATTGATGGACATTTGGGTTGATTCCAAGTCTTTGCTATTGTGAATAGTGCCACAATAAACATACATGTGCATGTGTTTTTATAGTAGAATGATTTATAATCCTTTGGGTATATACCCAGTAATGCGATTGCTGAGTCAAATAGTATTTCTAGTTCTAGATCCCTGTGGAATCGCCACACTGTCTTCCACAATGGTTGAACTAATTTACACTCCCACCCACAGTGTAAAAGCATTCCTATTTCTCCATATCCTCTCTAGCATCTGTTGTTTCCTGACTTTGTAATAATGGCCATTCCAACTGGTATGAGATAGTATCTCATTGTGGTTTTGATTTGCATTTCTATAATGACCAGTGATGACGAGCATTTTTTCATAAGTTTGTCAGCTTCAAAAATGTCTTCTTTTGAGAAGTGTCTGTTCATATCGTTTGCCCACTTTTTGATGGGGTTGTTTGTTTTTTTCTTGTAAATTTGTTTAAGTTCTTTGTAGACTTGATATTAGCCCTCTGTCAGATGGATAGATTGCAAAAAATGTCTCCCATTCTGTAGGTTGCCTGTTCACTCTGATGATAGTTTCTTTTGCTGTGCAGAAGCTCTTTAGTTAATTAGATCCCATTTGTCTATTTCAGCTTCTGTTACCATTGCTTTTGGCATTTTAGACCTGAAGTCTTTTCCCATGTCTATGTCCTGAATCATATTGCCCAGGTTTTCTTCTAGGATTTTTAAGGTTTTAGGTCTTATGTTTAAGCCTTTAATCCCTCTTGAGTTGGTTTTTGTATAAGGTGTAAGGAAGGTGTCCAGTTTCAGTTTTCTGCATATGGCTAGCCAGTTTTCCAAACACCATTTATTAAATAGGGAATCCTTTCCCCTTTGCTTGTTTGTGTCAGGTCTGTCAAAGATCAGATGGTTGTAGATGCATGGTGTGATTTCTGAGGCCTCTGTTCTGTTCCATGGGTCTATATATCTTGTTTGGTACCAGTACCATGCTGTTTTGGTTACTGTAGCCTTGTAGTGTAGTTTGAAGTCAGGTAGCATGCTGCCTCCAGTTTTGTTCTTTTGGCTTAGGATTGACTTGGCAATGTGGGCTCTTTTTTGGTTCCATATGAACTTTAAAGTAGTTTTTTCCAATTCTGTGAAGAAAGTCATGCATCAAATCTATAAATTACCTTGGGCAGTATGGCCATTTTCACAATACTGACTCTTCCTACCCATGAGCATGGAATGTTCTTCCATTTGTTTGTGTCCTCTTTTATTTCATTGAGCAGTGGTTTGTAGTTCTCCTTGAAGAGGTCCTTCATGTCCCTTGTAAGTTGGATTCCTAGGTATTTTATTCTCTTTGAAGCAATTGTCAATGGGAGTTCACTCATGATTTGGCTCTCTGTTTGTCTGTTATTGGTGTATAAGAATGCTTGTGAATTTTGCACATTGATTTTGTATCCTGAGACTTTGCTGAAGTTGCTTATCAGCTTAAGGAGATTTTGAGCTGAGACGATGGGGTTTTCTAAATATACAATCATGTCATCTGCAAACAGAGACAATTTGACTTCCTCTCCTCCTATTTGAATAGCCTTTATTTCTTTCTCTCACCTGATTGCCCTGGCCAGAACTTCCAATACTTTGTTGAATAGGAGTGGTGAGAGAGGGCATTCTTGTCTTGTGCCAGTTTTCAAAGGGAATGCTTCCAGTTTTTGCCCATTCAGTATGATATTGGCTTTGAGTTTGTCATAAATAGCTCTTATTATTTTGAGATACGTTCCACTGATACCTCGTTTACTGAGAGTATTTAGCATGAAGGGCTGGTGAATTTTGTCGAGGCCTTTTCTGTGTCTATTGAGATAATCATGTGGTTTTTGTCATTGGTTTTGTTTATGTGATGGATTACATTTTTTGATTTGCATAGGTTGAACCAGCCTTACATCCTTGGTATGAAGCCGGCTTAATCATGGTGGGTAAGCTTTTTGATGTGCTGTTGGATTCGGTTTGTCGTTATTTTATTGAAGATTTTTGCACCGATGTTCATTAGGGATATTGGTCTGTAATTTTTCTTTTTTGTAGTGTCTCTGCCAGGTTTTGGTATCAGGATGATGCTCACCTCATAAAAGGAGTTTGGGATGATCCCTTCTTTTTCTATTGTTTGGAATTGTTTAAGAAGGACTGGTGCCAGCCCCTCTTTGTACCTCTGGTAGAATTCGGCTGTAAATCCTTCTGATCCTGGGCTTTTTTTGGTTGGTAGGCTAATAACAACTGCCTAAATTTCAGAACTTGTTATTGGTCTATTCATGGATTCAACTTCTTCCTGGTTTAGACTTGGGAGGGTGTATGTGTCCAGGAATTTATGCATTTCTTCCAAGCTTTCCAGTTTATTTGCGAAATGTTGATAGTATTCTCTGATGGTAGTTTGTATTTCTGTGGGATCAGTGGTGATATCCCCTTTATCATTTTTTATTGCATCTATTTTATTCTTCTCTCTTTTCTTGTTTATTAGTCTGGCTAGTGGTCTATCTATTTTGTTGATCTTTTCAAAAAACCAGCTCTTGGATTCATTGATTTTTTGAAGGTTTTTTTGTGTCTCTACTCCTTCAGTTCTGCCCTAATCTTAGTTCTTGTCTTTTGCTAGATTTTGAATTTGTTTGCTATTGCTTCCCAAGTTCTTTTAATTTTGATGTTAGGGTGTCAATTTTAGATATTTCCTACTTTCTCTTGTGCCCACTTATAATTTTCCCTCTACACACTGCTTTAAATGTGTCCCACAGATTCTTGTACTTTGTGTCTTTGTTCTTATTGGTTTCAAAGAACATCTTTATTTCTGCCTTCATTTCATTATTTACCCAGTAGTCTTTCAGGAGCAGGTTGTTCAGTTTCCATGTAGTTGTGTGGTTTTGAGTGAGTTTCTTAATCCTGAGTTCTAATTTGATTGCACTGTGGTCTGAGAGACTGTTATGACTTCCATTCTTTTGCATTTGCTGAGGAGTGTTTTATTTCCAATTATGTGGTCAATTTTAGAATAAGTGCAATGAGGTGCTGAGAAGCATGTACTTCTGTTGATTTGGGGTGGATAATTCTGTAGATGTCTATTAGGTCCTCTTGGTCCAGAGCTGAATTTAAGTCCTAAATATCCTTGTTAATCTTCTGTCTCGTTGATCCGTCTAATATCAACAGTGGGGTGTTGAAGTCTTCCACTATTATTGTGTGGGAGTCTATGTCTCTTTTAAGTCTCTAAGAAGTTGCTTTATGAATCTGGGTGCTCCTGTACTGGGTGCATATATATTTAGGACAGTTAGCTCTTCTTGCTGCATTGGCCCCTTTACCATTATGTAATGGCTTTCTTTGTCTCTTTTGATCTTTGTTGGTTTAAAGTCTGTTTTATCAGAGTTTAGGATTGCAACTCCTGCTTTTTTTTTTTCTTTCCATTTGCTTGGTAAATATTCCTCCTTCCCTTTATTTTGAGCCTATGTGTCTCTTTGCACATGAGATGGATCTCCTGAATACAGGACACTGATGGGTCTTGACTCTTTATCCAATTTGACAGCCTGTGTCTTTTAAGTGGGGATATTTAACCCTTTTACATTTAAGGTTAATATTGTTATGTGTGAATTTGATCCTGTCATTATGATGCTAGCTGGTTGTTTTGCCTGTTAGTTGATGCAGTTTCTTCATAGTGTCGATGTTCTTTACAATTTGGTGTGTGTTTTTACAAGTAAAAGTATTTCTGAAAATCTGCATGCCAATGTGCCTTAAATTTAAAATCAGTTTTAATAAAAGGGATGTTTGAATTAAATGTGAATTCATTTAAACTACACGTATTCATTTGCACCAGTCTTCTGAGAGATTATTAATGTTGAAAGGATATGAATTGTATGTTTGTAGACTTTGTTTTCTATATTCTTAATCAAATAAAACAGGAGAAAGTAACAAATATTTTGTACATGTATGCATATATATATACACACATACATATATGTATACTAAGAAAACAAAATATTCATAGATAATTTCAAGTATCTTACCTGTGAATATGGCTTCACCACCAGAAAAGACTTAATTTTAATCATCATCATTTTTTATACGACAAAAAATATTTATGAAGTATATTTTAGTTAATCAGAGAGTGAACTTTGTGAAAACAATGGGCTACTATTGGAAGTGGGAAAAGTTAATATTCCAAAATAAATAAGCCTTTTCTAATTTGTAATAATAGACCTTTTCTAAGGTCTTTACCAGATCTTTCAGTTTATATTTTAAATACAATTTTTAGTATTGCTCGAGTAACACATGTTCAGAGTAGAAAATGTTTAAAATATTGAAAAGATGTATTTTTCCCCAAAAGAGCTTGAGATGCGGAAAATTTGTGAGGATAATCTGTAAAATAATTGGTCTTGGATTAATTCCAAATGGTAAAACACAGAACAGATTGACTCTTTATTCGTTATGAAAAACATGAAACATTTTTTAGGCCAAATCTATAGATGGTAGAGAACGTATGTACATATCATATGGTATGCTTAGATTTTTTGCAGAGTGATATTTTATTATTTTATGTCTTAAGATTAAAAAAAGAAACCTGGGAAACAAACTGTTTCTTTTATTTTTCAAAAACTTCTGCAAAGTCTGTATCTTTGATTCCTCATTCACACATTGTCGGGATAGTTGACCCCTGAGTTTGGTGGATTAATGGCACTGCATCAAGTGGATATCAAACAAATGTGGCACTTCTAAAGCTGCAGTACCAAACTGCAAATTGGAAATACACCCTTGGTTATACTGTCAACAAAGGAGACCCTTGATGTGTGATTCCACTCATCATTCCTCTTAAGCCATTATCAGACAGCTGAGATCAGACAACAATGAAAGAACATGTGCTTGATTGTTAGCATGTCAGACGTACATTATTAAAAACAGTAGGGACAAGGAGAGAGATGAGAGGAAAGGCATTGGCTTCTTTGTTCCGTGTGTGAGGGTTTATTTGGGGAAAAAAAAGAATTCTAAGAAGCACTGCCATGTAACTCCCTATGATAAAGGCCTAGCTTTGCCTCTGTTCATTTGATAATCAAGTTTATGTTCTTTCTTTTTGTTTCTTTCATAATGAAAATGATTAGGAACTTGTTTTAACTGCTTACTCATTCTTACCCATTTCAACTGAAAACTCATTTTCATCTGGCTAAATTTCTGATTGTTTTTCAAAAATCTGTACCCCAATTACCTGGTTTGATACGGCAAGACTGTTTTAAATTCACCCCCTTCTAAGGGGAGGTATATGAAGAGTTAGGAATGATCTGTTTCATTCAGACCTTTCAAATAAAAGTAAAAATCATTAATGATCAAGTTCATTGCACATAATATTATACATGCTTTAACTAAAGTAATGGGTCAAGTTCAGAGGAAATAATGAGAATCTATTAATGGCTTTTAGGTACACATGAGAAATTGCCCATAGATAATTTTTCAACCTGAATATATAAAAAGGTACCACAATAGTGTCAAACACAAGCAGAGTTAGTGACCACAAAATGTAATTTCTAAGATAAATTTTTAAAATATAACGGAATTTATAACAACTTTTCTCATGGACTTTCTGTAAATACAGGGAGAAATCAGAATTATATACAGAAATTTACAAATTCGCTTTTTCTCTACTTCTCCAAATTGATTGTGTTGGGTGATACTTTTCTTAAGTATTCTTAATGCTTCTTTTTGAAGTAAATTTTTTTATGTTCCTCACAAAAAGAATGTATATTTTTTTAATAATGTATATAATACTTATTTTTAAAATGTATACAACTACTTGTCTTATTTCCTATGAAAGAGACACATCTACAGTTTCAGTTTCTCTTTGAAGTAATCACATTACTCAACATTTGTAAAACAATTAAAACATGGTTTGTGAAAAACAATGAAGATTATTAACTTTAATTTATTTCTTTTGTTCCACTTGCCCAAAACATGAATAGGGGAGGTTTCAATATGGCAATAGTAGGATTAAAGTATATTATATGTCTTAAAACGTGATTGAAAATCAATTTAGCATTATAAAATTTGAAAATAAATGTTCTGTCACAGACAGGTTCACAAAGTAACATAAAATAAAAATTATACTTTTTTATGATTTCACTTAATTTAAAAGAGAAATAGAATTTACGTAAAACGTTTTTAGCCAATTACAAAAGTAATTAACTATTGAAAACTCTTTAATTATTTTATTAGCCACAGTCCAAAGTATTTATTTGAAAAGCCTTTGGAATCATGCTTGTACAAGAATGACTAAAGTCAGAATATGTTGAATACAAATTTTTAAAAGTCCTTAATATTTATGTGTGGATCTTCAAAGTCACAAATGTAATTAAGAAATTCCTGGCCAGAACTTCAAAAACTATGTTGAATAGGAGTGGTGAGAGAGGGCATCCCTGTCTTGTGCCAGTTTTCAAAGGGAATGTTTCCAGTTTTTGTCCATTCAGTATGATATTGGCAGTGGGTTTGTCATAGACAGCTCTTATTATTTTGAGATACATCCCATCAATACCTAATGTATTGAGAGTTTTTAGCATGAAGGGTTGTTGAATTTGTCAAAGGCCTTTTCTGCATCTATTGAGACAATCATTTGGTTTTTGTCTTTGGTTCTGTTTATATGCTGGATTACGTTCATTGATTTGTGTATGATGAACCAGCATTGCATCCCAGGGATGAAGCCCACTTGATCATGATGGATAAGCTTCTTGATGTGCTCCTTGATTCGGTTTGCCAGTATTTTATTGAGCATTTTTGCACCAATGTTCATCAGGGACATTGGTCTAAAATTCTCTTTTTTTTGTTGTTGTGTCTCTGCCAGCCTTTGGTATCAGGATGATGCTGGCCTCATAAAATGAGTTAGGGAGGATTTTCTATTGATTGGAATAGTTTCAGAAGGAATGGTACCATCTCCTCCTTGTACCTCTGGTAGAATTCGGCTCTGAATCCATCTGGTCCTGGACTTTCTTTGGTTGGTAAGCTATTAATTATTGCCTCAATTTCAGCTCCTGTTATTGGTCTATTCAGAGATTCAACTTCTTCCTGATTTAGTCTTGGGAGGGTGTATGTGTTGAGGAATTTATCCATTTCTTGCAGATGACATGATTGTATATCTAGAAAACCTCATTGTCTCAGCTCAAAATCTCCTTAAGCTGATAGGCAACTTCAGCAAAGTCTCAGGATACAAAATCAATGGGCAAAAATCACAAGCATTCTTATACACCAATAACAGACAAACAGAGAGCCAAATCATGAGTGAACTCCCATTCACAATTGCTTCAAAGAGAATAAAATACCTAGGAATCCAACTTACAAGGGATGTGAAGGACCTCTTCAAGGAGAACTACAAACCACTGCTCAATGAAATAAAAGAGGATACAAATAAATGGAAGAACATTCCATGCTCATGGGTAGGAAGAATCAATATTGTGAAAATGGCCATACTGCCCAAGATAATTTATACATTCAATGCCATCCCCATCAAGCTACCAAGGACTCTCTTCACAGAATTGGAAAAAACTACTTTAAAGTTCATATGGAACCAAAAAAGAGCCTGCATTGCCAGGACAATCCTAAGCCAAAAGAACAAAGCAGGAGGTATCACGCTACCTGACTTCAAACTATACTACTAGGCTACAGTAATCAAAACAGCAGGTAGTGGTACCAAAACAGAGATATAGATCAATGGAACAGAACAGAGCCCTCAGAAATAATGCCACATATCTACAACTATCTTATCTTTGACAAACCTGACAAAAACAAGCAAAGGGGAAAGGATTCCCTATTTAATAAATGGTGCTGGGAAAACTGGCTAGCCATATGTGGAAAGCTGAAACTGGATCCCTTCCTTACACCTTATACAAAAATTAATTCAAGATGGATTAAAGACTTAAGTGTTAGACCTAAAACCATAAAAACTCTAGAAGAAAACCTAGGCAATAACATTCAGGACATAGGCCTGGGCAAGGACTTCAGGTCTGAAACACCAAAAGCAATGGCAACAAAGGACAAAATTGACAAATGGGATCTAATGAAACTAAAGAGCTTCTGCACAGCAAAAAAAAAAAAAAAAAAAAAAAAAAACAAAAAACCACACACACACACACACAAAAACTACCATCAGAGTGAACAGGCAACCTACAGAATGGGAGAAAATTTTTGCTATCTACTCATCTGACAAAGGGCTAATATCCAGAATCTACAATGATCTCAAACAAATTTACAAGAAAAAAAAACCAACCCCATCAAAAAGTGGGTGAAGGATATGAACAGACACTTCTCAAAAGAAGACATTTATGCAGCCAACAAACTTATGAAAAAATGCTCATCATCACTGGCCATCAGAGAAATGCAAATCAAAACCACAATGAGTTACCATCTCACACCAGTTAGAATGGCAATCATTAAAAAGTCAGGAAACAACAGGTGCTGGAGAGGATGTGGAGAAATAGGAATACTTTTACACTGTTGGTGGGACTGTAAACTAGTTCAACCAGTGTGGCGATTCCTCAGGGATCTAGACCTAGAAATACCATTTGACCCAGCCATCCCATTACTCGGTATATACCCAAAGGATTATAAATCATGCTGCTATAAAGACACATGCACATGTATGTTTATTGCGGCACTATTCACAATAGCAAAGACTTGGGACCAACCCAAATGTCCAACAATGATAGACTGGATTAAGAAAATGTGGCACATATACACCACGGAATACTATGCAGCCATAAAAAATGATGAGTTCATGTCCTTTGTGGGGACATGGATGAAGGTGGAAACCATCATTCTCAGCAAACTATCGCAAGGGCAAAAAACCAAACACGGCATGTTCTCACTCATAGATGGGAATTGAACAATGAGAACACATGGACACAGGAAGGGGAACATCACACACCGGGGCCTGTTGTGGGTTGGAGGGAGCGGGGAGGGATAGTATTAGGAGATACACCTAATGCTAAATGACGAGTTAATGGGTGCAGCACACCAACATGGCACATGTATACATATGTAACAAACCTGCATGTTGTGCACATGTACCCTAAAACTTAAAGCATAATTAAAAAAAAGAAATTCCTTTTGAAAATATAAAAATTGCTTAAGTATATTATACCTAAAATATTTTAAATACCACAATATAAGTTATATTGTGATCTGTATTAGGAATAAATATGAATATGTGCCAATATTTACATATTATATTGAAATACTTACATTTGTTTTATGTGGTATGTATGAGGGGGGAGGGAGAGAGAGACAGAACAAATAAAAATATTTCTACTTTTTTTCAATATTAAATGTAAGGATATCTTAAAACACTTTGAGTATATTAAAACACTTTGAGGATATTATTTACTTTTGCAATACAAATAATTTTTGTGTATTTGTCTGATGTAGAGATCTTTCTCTTCAGCGTGAATGAAATTTATAGTTGTTGAACAGGACATTAATTGTCTTAAAAATCTCAGTAACATTTTCAGTAATCTCACAATAATTACATATATTATTTTTCATCCAGAAGTGTACTCTATTGAAGGATGTATTTTCAAGCATTTTTTACCAGTTGGTCATGGTCAAAACATGGTTGCTTCAACTCTGTGTAACACATCTATGTTTAAAGCACAAAGAGTGAGAAAACATCAAATGTCAATGCCAATTTGTAAAAATCCCTTATCATATTTCTTTTGCAACTCGGCCAGAGTTATGTCATGTGGCCACACCCTGCTGGAAAAAAGCTGGAAGGGCAAACATCTGGCAAAAACAAAAAACAGAAAATCACAAGTTTGGCCACATGGTTGCCTCAAACAAGGTCATTATTCAGATATAAAAACAATATGGTAAGTAGAAAAGGCTATTGACACCAAGCGTCATTTTTATTTAATGATTTTTTTATTCCATCATGGGTAACCTTCTCCATCCTCTTTAGTGACAGAGAAAAGGGCACCACTGAAATGTGTTTTGGGATAAAACTAAATTTTAAAAATATAAGTTATAAGGTATATCAATGGAAATGTAATTATTATTATTTGAATACAATATAGGTTGTATTTCATAAAGTAAGATATTTCTAATAGCTGCCTCATATCCAAGATGCGGTTTAAGACGTGAGTTTTTCCGTTCTTTTCTTTGTACTTTACACTGTATTGTGCCACTACAGAATTTTGCAATTACAAAATACAGTTCGGCATTCCCTTAAATCATCGAGTTCAGTTGCATTTTTGAAACGAGTAATTCATAATCTCACATTGTAAAGTGGCATTTAAATTAATAAATTTTTTTTGTATTTCTGATGCTATTGATATGTGTTTTTCTTTTTCAAAAAACTAATCTCAGTAAGGTTTCTATTTTAGGATCATAGGAAATTGTAACATGAACTTTTCCAAATGCTGCTTTTTAGCTCAGGCAGAAAGGACTTCATCTGAAACATTCTCTGTGTGCCCCACCCTCTTTAACTTCCACTGTCATGAGAAAGGAAATAATTGGGAATGAATGAGATGAAGGGTAAAGGATAAGAGGATTATAGGAAAGAATTTATGTTTAATTCAGAGAAAACTCCCTAAAGAATCTTGTCAGTTAGTTTCAAACTATCTGAAAAAAAGAAACTATTCACTAAGATTTTTAATTTACAGAATGATAGGTATAAAATGTATTCTAAGAGTTCACTTACACTATTTTCTCTCTCATGCAGCACCACACCTAAACCAACTGAGACCAAAGAGGCCCAATTTGAAAATTTTATTGTATGGCTCCTTTACATCATAAAATACAGACACGCGGCCATGGGTGGTGGCTCACGCCTGTAATCCCAGCACTTTGGGAGGCCAAGGCGGGTGGATCACGAGGTCAGGAGATCGAGACCATCCTGGCTAACACGGTGAAACCCCGTCTCTACTAAAAAATACAAAAAATTAGCTGGGTGTGGTGGCGGGCGCCTGTAGTCCCAGCTACTAGGGAGGCTGAGGCAGGAGAATGGCGTGAACCTGGGAGGCAGAGCTTGCAGTGAGCTGAGATCGCGCCACTGCACTCCAGCCTGGGCGACAGAGCGAGACTCCATCTCAAAAAAAAAAAAAAAAAAAAAAATACAGACACACACACAAACCACCACCACCACAATAACAATTACAATGTTTTTTTGGTCTTCAGTCTCAGAAATTTGTTTCTTATTTCAAAATAAATAATTCAGTTTCATCCATTTCCTCTCCTGCCCTCAATGGAGATGAACACCTGGACAAGGACTCTATGTAATTGCCCTTGTTATTGCTGAAAGAGTTGTAGTATCTTTCATTCATGTCTTTCTGAAAGCGAAGGTTGCTTTTGTTCTATTACTGTTCCACATATATGTTATTTCCTAAACCTTTACCCAAGTTTGCTATTTATTTTCAACTTTGGTGTTGCCCCAGTCACGTCCTATTGAGTTATGACTCTCAGAACCCAAGACAGTGTATCCAAGAAAATACTCAGAGGAAAATAAAAACCCATCAAGTACTTCTGAGCCTTTTAAAACATAGGAATAGAAAAGGAAGTTCTTGACATATATAAGACAATTGAAAACCTTAATCAAAACCATTCTTTTCCTTTTCTTCCCTTCCCTTATATTTGTTATTTCAAATGAAAATGTACTTTTAGATGCTTTCTTAGAATTGTCCATTCTCCAAAGCATCAACAGCATCTTTAAAATAAAAACACACAACAAAAACCTAAGCAGATTAGTGTTTATCTCCTGGCATTAAATGTGTGTGTGTTGTGAATGGGCAGACACTCATGCACTTACATTCTCTCTCTCTTTCTCTTTCTCTCTCTCTCTCTCTCACACACATGTACAGGCACACTCACACAAAAATTCTTGAAAATCAAGTCCTCTTATTGGCATCCCCAAGTCAGAGGGTAGAATCTTCTAGAATCCTGAGCTTCCTTTATTCAATTCTGGCAGAATTTTTTAGGTTGTTGTAGGAGACGTATTTTTAGTGAAAGCCAAAATATATATATATTTACACTATTTTTCTGGTTTCTTTAGGTAGCAACCCTAAAAGTAATCTCATTTATAAAGTTTGCAAGTAATTTTCTAAAATAAAATATTAATCTAGGTATTCTTAGGGTTGTCTATTAATCTTCATTTGTTTTCTTCAAAATGTATTATTATGATCAAGAGAATTAGAATGGAGGGATAGGTGGGTACTATTTAGTATGCAGATTTGGGACACATTCCAGACTTACCAAATCAGAATATTTGTACTAGTGTCCAGGATGTCAATGTCCTCTAAGATCAACAGTTGACTTCAACTCACACTATTTTGAGAACCACTACTATGAAAGGCACAGAACCTAAGAAAAAAATGTTACTTGGATTTCTCATTCTAACTCCAGACCTAATGCCAACATTTAAAGCAGATGCAATGGGTTCAAGGCGACTGTCAAGAGCAAATTTAAATTAAAAATAAAAATTAATGGAAAACCTTAAAATGTAGAGACAGCTCTCTCTTGTACCTTTTTGAGAAGTTGTCAGTGGTTTTTAGCACAAGTAAGTGAGAGAGGGATCTCTTTTTATTCCAGTAACTGTTCCTAGAATCTTTGTTGCATTACCACTTGTCATGTAGCAAATTGGTCCCCTTAAAACATGAGCCTCTCTGAGGAGAAGGCTCCAGTACTCTACATGCTCAGGGTGGACCCGGATAGGGCAAAACTGAGTATGTACAAGTCCAGAGTTCTTACAATCTTCATTTACTGGCTCATATTAATTGTTACTTTGCTGGCCAATTGCTAGCACTTGTTAAGATTACAATACTATTCACAATTGCAACATTATTCACAATAGTAAAGAAATGGAATCAACCTAAAGTCCCATCAATGATAAACTAGATAAAGAAAACCTGGTACATATACACAGTGCAATACTATACACCATAAAAAAGAACGAGATCATGTCCTTTGCAATGACATGGATGGAGCTGGAGGTCATCATACTTAGAAAACTAACACAGGAACTGAAAACCAAATACCGGCCGGGCTCGGTGGCTCAGGCCTGTAATCCCAGCACTTTGGGAGGCCAAGGCGGGCGGATCACGAGGTCAGGAGATCGAAACATCCTGGCTTACACGGTGAAACCCCGTCTCTACTAATAATACAAAAAATTAGCCGGGCGTGGTGGTGGGCGCCTGTAGTCCCAGCCACTCAGCTACTCGGGAGGCTGAGGCAGGAGAATGGCGCGAACCCGGGAGACGGAGCTTGCAGTGAGCCGAGATCCCGCCACTGCACTCCAGCCTGGGCTACAGAGCGAGACTCCATCTCAAAAAAAAAAAAAAAAAAAAGAAGAAGAAAACCAAATACCTCATGTTCTCACTTATAAGTGGGACATAAGTGATGAGAGCATATGGACACACAGAGGGGAAGAAAACACACCGCGGTCTTTTGGAGGAGACAGGTTGAAAGGAAGGAGAGAATCAGGAAAAATAACTAATGGCTGCTAGCCTTAACACCTAGGTGATGAAATAATCTGTACAAGAAACCCCCATGACACAAGTTTACCTATGCAACAAAACTGCACATGTACCCCTGAACTTAAAATAAAAACTAAAAATAAAAAGATCCAGGAATGCTCTATGGATTTTGTTTGTCATGTTGTAGTTTACTTTCTTCCCCACATCAACTTCTAGCTATAATGACACTGCTTTCTGTTTATGCAACGCTTGACACAGCTTTACAAAGTGCTATATTGTACATTGATCACATGTGAGATTCAGAGAAATAGTATGAGGAAGACTGGGTGTATATATAATTCACAATTAACTTGAGTCAAAACTGAAGCTAAAACTGCTAAATAACTTATGAAAGTGGCTTGAGTGTTTCAGACTCTAGATTAATACTAAGAGCTTTTGATTCTGTGATGTTTTCTCTATTAATCTAGGTAAGCAACACACTATTAGGTAACATAATATTTGCCTACAGCTTATGTATTTGTAAACAAGATATACCCAACTTTATTCATTTACCTCACTTCCTCCACTAAAATATGAGCTCCAAGATAGCTGTTTTTTTCTCTGCTTTGTTTATTCCTTCATGTTCAGTAAATAAACCTGTGAACGGCAAGTAGTAGGTATTAAACAAAGTTTGAAAGCAAATGGCCCTCTAAATGATCATCTGTATCTTTAATTTGTCTTACTGAAAGAAACTTGAATTTTTTTCTAGGAATACACCTAAATTAATTTGATGATTACTTTCTTAATGTAAGTTAAAAATGTCATATATTTATATTTCTTTAAATAGTTGTATTGTTTTTCTCCTCAGGTTTAGCATCAGTCATCTATGGAAAACAAACGGGATGACATTCCAGGTATGTTCTAAGTCCTAACAATTTGTGACTTAAGGAGTAATTAATTTCAAACAAAATAATATATAAATGTTTAATCTTGATAATTACCAGCAGGATTCTTGAATACCATAGTTAGAGAAGCTGACGTAATACAAAAATGATTGAAAAATATGAAAAGAAGTCTATAAGGTTTCTACACAAGAGAAATGTTTTAGTTTATTGAAAAATATTTTATTTTTCTTAAGCCAAAGTACTTTCCAGTAATGTTGCTTTCTATGTTTTGTTGTTGCTGTTGGTTTTGGTCTCTTGCATTTAAGATTATGTTTGCAAACAATTACATCAGTTCATGGGAGAAATAGTTTAGAGACCTAACAGCCTTCTGTGAGCCAAAACCATTTGCACACAGAACAAGTCAACAACAGTCAAATGTACATCAACATTTAACAGTATAGCATATGTAGCAGATAAATCTAAAACTACTATTCCAAACTGCCACTCCAGTCAATATATATCAAACATATAAATCAAACATATTATCTATCATGTACTTGGATGGCTTTGGCATTTCTTATTTCCCTTTCTCTTGCAAAAAGTATACATCACTGTGACTAAAATCATTGCTTTGGAAATTCAATGGTTGCCAAGTCACTGAAAATGTAAATTTGAGTTATTAGTCTATGAATTAAAGGCAGAGTACTTTTAACCTGATTTGATCTTTATCACTTCTCTGGTGAAGTGGACATATTTCAAACAATATATCTAGAAAAAAAACAGGAAATAGTGAAAACATTATATTTGTGTAACACTGTGGCTTATCTAACAAAATCATATCTAATATATTAATTTGAAAGTGTTCACTTGTGTCTATATGTGTGTGATGTGCATGTGCATGTGTGTATATGTATGTGTGTGTGCTTAATGCAACTTACTTCCCTATGAATCTTTGGATCTTTTAAGGAATGAAGATTGGCTTTTTCTACCAATATGCCAGTCTTCATTTACATAACACTAGCGAATAAACTTCAAGCTTAAATAAGTTGAGAGACATTGCCATTAAAGTCGGATAAAAGATTTCTAAACATCAGCATATAGATTTCCATTTGCGAGTTGTAATTCGACACCTTTCTTAATGGGGCTTTAACAAAATTATAAAGCTCAGTGTTCCCTATGCTTTGTTGACGCCACACTTCAGTAAGAGCTGTACGTGTGTATCTTACAAAAGTCTTTGATTCACTCCAGGCATGTAGAGACCTTTTGCTGTAAAAAAAGATCTTTTAGCCACTTTGCATTTCTTAGGACAAAGTATAAGCATGCAAATGCCTACAGGTGCCAGGTAATTTTCATAAATTTTTGATCAAACAGGAGAAAACATTATGTGAAAGGGGTTCTGTTCTGCTCTATCTATATTTATGTATCAATATATCAATAGATCTGTGTTTATTTCTATGTCTACATTCACATTTATATCTATATGTCTATCTCTACTTCTATATCTATCAGTTTGTTCATCTATTTACATCTATCTATCATCTATCTATCTATCTATCTATCTATCTATCTATCTATCTATCTAATCTTAGACTTGCAAACCTATGAATCAGACCCAGACCACCCAGGCCTAGAATCACGAAGTTACTTTGCTGCAGAGCTGCAGAGAACTGAGATCTCCTGGTTATTATGGAGTACTTTTTCCAGTGTGTCCCAAATCACTCAGGAAATATATAAATCAGGACCCTAAAGCACTTTAACCATTCTCTGTTCCGATGCATAGAAGAACACTGAAGCAAAGATTTTGCTGGGTGTTCTGGTTGATAGTTCTGTTATTGGATTAATTAAATAATAGTTGCTCAATTTATTAAATTTTAGCAACAACATGACAATCTACATTACATATTATGGTGAATAAAATTATGCTGACAATGCTGAAATAAAGCAATGCTTGGCTGAAAAACATAAAGGTAATTAACCATTTTAACTATTTTATGAATGTTTGTGTTAGATGGTTGTTCTTTTCAACAGAATCGCTTTGTTAAATGAAGAATTGGAGGCCATATTCTACAGAGTGAAGATGGTGTTGGGGAATTATGACATCTTTCCTAAAGAGGAGCCAACTCATATTCTTGCCACTAGGCCCAGCCAGTGGTTTATGGAGGTACAGTAGCACATATATTTTAAACAAGTAAAACTTGACATTTTAAAGGGGGGAAGATACTTTTACAAAAATCTTTAAATAACACAAAATAAAGAGTATTAGGAAGGACAAAGAGAGTGTTGATGGAGTATGTTGACCAAGGTTCTTTTAAAGTATTAGAGGAAGTTGCTATATTCTAGATAAAGAAGGAAGGATTAAAGTGCGGCTGTGACACACTAGTAAATTTGGATGGAAGGTCTTCATTGTTTGAAATGGATGTGTGTCACTGAAGTAGTTAATGGATTCACTTGTGGTTTTCCTCAGTATGATTTTAAACCAAGGTTTCCAAATAAGAACGAGGAAATTGGTTTGAGGTAAAAATGAGACACACAACAGTCTATTTCTTTTCTTTTTCAAATCTTCTCTTTCAAGCAGGAACATTAAACAATATTTTTCCAATGGAGTTTGAGATACCTCGACAGATGTTTAAAAAATTATCAACTATTCACCTCATGCTTTATTTGTTTATTTAGGTAATAAAATACATAAAATTCAAAGTAACTTTGTACTCATAATTTGTAAAAACTAGTTCCAAAGACAATGATAGATTCTGGAATCTTTCAACAGTGTTACATGGACAGAGAATAATTAACTGTGAAATGGATACCATAAAGAGTGTTTAAATCTTAAATGCCTAAAGAAATGCTTTTGGTGCACCTAGAGAATGACATACTTGGGACAGTATATTGGATATTTTCACCATCTGTGAGTATTTTTAAATATTTCGTCTTTTGGAAAGAGAAAATTATGCAATTTGGGCTCTCAAGTATATCAACATTCCAGCTTTCACCAACATCCTTGGTATTTTCACAATTTCTTTTTTCTTACTTTCTGTAGTCTAACCCAGCCAGCTAGAAATGATCCATGTTTTATCCACTTATACAATAAAATTGTACATTTTCCCATCCAGCATTATTTATTTTTATTAGAAGAATGTGATATACCTTAAATACTATAAAGTAACATACACACAAAAGGTGGAAATTTCAGGGAACCAAGGAAAGAAGAAATAAATTCCAGAATAATTCATGTGAATGATATATAATTTAAATTAATGACATAAAGAATTTAAATACATTTTAAAAACTTGCTTTCTGTGCATTTTTACTCAAAGACAATAATACATTCTCTCTTCTGATCTATCGGCTTATTAATGAAGAGGCATTTTTACCTCAGGGGACAATGTATAAATTTTATCCTCTGAATAAAACTATTAGGAATCAATATAACACAGAAGGGAGGACTAGCCATTGGTGGAAACCTTCCAGAAATTAGCCCACCATTTGAAGTGATTTGTAAATATTTTTGCAAAAATCTCATGAGAAACATTCTAATCTAAAAGTAACTCATGTGAAGTCCTTTCATTATCTGTACAGTGAGAGGGTTGGATTAGAAGATCATCCCTCTCATCCTCAGGAATGATATCACATTCATGCCAAATGCACAGAGAAAGGGAGCTGCAGTCTAAAGATTCAGAAGCCAGTTTAGAAGAGGCAGAGTCACATAAGAGGTGAATAGTAAAAGGGAATCTGTTGCACTTTGCAGAGTCCAGGCCAATTTTTAGGGAGTAAGGAGCTGAGGCACCAGGGCTTAAAAGGAATGGCGTGGCGTGGCTTAAAAGGGCGGCGTGGAACAAGACAAATGAGCAGTGACAGAATGGGCCCCAGAGAGGAAGAAGCAAGATTACTATGGCTACAAAGCAAGTTATGTAACTGTTGGTACAAGCATTATATGTGACTTGTGTCATAGTGCATGCAAGTGAGGAAGCCCTAGGTTTATCCAATAAGACATACTTGTGGCTTTGGGGTTGGGGCTTGGCCAAGAGAAGTGTCACAGACGCCTGTGGTGCAGGCTTACACATACTTACCCTTCTTCATTTCCAATTATAACAAAGCATATTGGAATAACACCAGGTAATGAACCATGTGTTCTATGTTTGGTATTTCTTAGCTATTAAATTCTATGACTATTTGTCCTCAAACTGAAACTTTTATCAACCACTTAGTAGTGTTTTGAAACATTAACTCTTCAGATCTCCCATGGCACATGGAAATAATTCGTATAAAGATAATGCATTATTTCTTGCTTATCAATGTGTAGGGATTTTCTTAAAAATAAACGATAGATACATCTTCTAAAACTCTTTGAAAATTTGTTGGCACTATTTAGAAAGCCACAGTCACATTTTGATATAGTGAGCTGATTTCAATTTTGATAAAAATATTATAACTTGTAAACATTAGGATTACCTCCCATTTGGAAAACTCTTTTGAAAACACTTTAGCAGTAGCCAAATAAGCCCGGTGGCTTGATTTTATGTATGCTATTGTATCAAATACTTTCAACTTCCAACTGTGAAAACTGTATAAACCAGAGGATTATAACTATTTGTATGAGATGATTAATGTGTGCCAGATGCCCCACCATTAACTTCACATGGTTTGTCTCATTTAGTCATGAGAACATAATGCCTGATGAATGAAATTGTATTATTCCCATTTTACAGATTTGGTATTGAATTCTAGAGATGCTATGTAACTTGTCCAAAGTCATATTGCTAAGAAGTTTCTTCTATGGGATTGAAGACAGTTTGAATTCTGGGCCTGATGTATTATTGGCTTCTGCACATTCCATTCCCATTATTCTCGTGCTCACTAAACTCTACTATTGACATAGAAAAAAAGTTTAAGGAGTGCTTTATTGTAAGACTGTGATGATGGAGGTGTTTATTTTAACAGAGACCTTTATCTTATGATAAAATCCCCTGGAGCACAGGGAGTAGAGACAGCTAATTTTGCTTTGCCCCCGACACTTGACTCTGGAAGTCCATATAAAGCACATGCTTCTGAGTTATCCTCTCTAAGAGATGGGAATGGTGGTTACTTACAGAGCAATTCCCACCAGTGACTGATTTGGTGTACCCCTGGTGGATATTAAATCTTGGCATTTCAAGCATGTCTGGCATGTGAGTAGAGTGGTCTCTGAATTTAGAGAGCATCATCAGGTACAGTGAAGCAAATATTAGAGTTGGAATTAGCCTGTGTCCACAGTAATTATATAGTAAACGGGATACAGTTGGGGCAGCAACACATCACCTGCAGTGCTAAAAATGGCCTTTGTAAGGCTGGGTGTGGTGGCCCATGCCTATAATCCCAGCACTTTGGGAGACTGAGGTGGGTGCATTGCTTGAGCCCATGAGTTTGAGACCAGCCTGGACAACATAGTAAGATCCTGTCTCAACAAAAAGTTTAAAAGACATAAGCCAGGCATAGTGGCATACTCCTGTAGTTCCAGCTACTTGGAAGGCTAAAGCAGGAGGGTAACTTGAGCCTGGGAGGTCGAGGCTGCAGTGAGCTGTGATGGCACCACTGCACTCCAGCCTGGGTGACAGAGCGAGACCTCATATCAAAAAAAAAAAAAAAAGAAAAGAAAAAAAAGTCCGTTGCAAATTGAAGAAAACAGCAAGTTAGAGGAGTTCATAGTCGTGAGTTTGTTGCCTTTGCTACCACAGAGCAAATGAATAAGACATTGCAGCACACGGTCTACCTACCAACCAATAGCATATTCTGCTTTGCTACATGCACATATTTTGAATTCTTTTCCTTTTTATTTTTTTAATGTGTCTTCAGGCCTACTGTGTCACCATGGCCTACCATAATGTGCACAATTCATGTCTGTTGAAAGAAAAAGTACCATGATAAAAATTCACATAATAAGTGTCTTAAAATTCATAGCTAAAAAAGACAATTGATTCATAGACATTAAATGGAAGGATTCAAATTTGCTTTTTTATGATGTAAAGGCACACAATAGAGGAAACTACTTTGAATGATTTAATTAAATATGTGATTAAATTAGCTGGTTTGACTCAGATCTTACCCTAGGATGAAGAATGCTGGCCAGCTGAAATGGGAACCAGGAAACTCCTGGGGTATCACTTTATTTCCAAGAAAGGAGAACGCCCTTGTGAATAATTGGGAATTGACTATCTAGGAAAACATTACTATTGCCAAGGTTTCCATTCATAAGTTAATAGAAGTTACTGAGTGACTGAAGGAGAAGTAACTAGCATTAATAATAACTACCATATGCCAAAAACCATGCCACACAGTTCACATGCATTCACACATTGGCCCCTATACCCATCAGTTCTATGAAGTTTTTATTTTACATAGTGAAGAAAACTGAAAAAATTACGTATCTATTCCCAAGGGCATGGAATAAATACTTAGCAGATTAGGTTGCTTGTCGAGAAAAAGCATGTGAATTTCAATCTGTTTGACTCTAAAATCCATGCTATTTCTACACCACTCTTGATTCCTTATAGATCATTATTTCATCCTGAGCTCAGGTGAAAATATGGTATAATATTCAAAATCAAACTTTTCCTTCTAACATGCATATGACACACACAGTCACACCTACACACACCCACATACATACTGTGTAATAAAGTAATATAATATCAGACTCCATTTTTGATGTTCGACTGCTGAAAGCTTTTGAGTCCCATCATTTCCCTTTCGGCCCTGCTTATGTGAAAGCTGATAAGAAATCTTGGGTTCTCCCTCCTTTGGCTGTGGAAAGGTTAAACCATGTAAGTCCCAGCCTGAGTGGGGATCCTCTCTCCTGAACCTCATCCCCTAACTGCTATAGAAACTTCAGAGCTAGTCTCCTATCCTCCCTCTTCTAAGCCATTTTTTTGCACTGTCGAGAATCTACCTTGCTCTCCCCAGAGAGCCCCATTGTGTAAGTAATAAACCTTTTCAAACCTTCTTCATGGATTGTGTAACATCGTTTGTCTTGACGTCCGAACCAAATTTTGGGTGGAGGGTCCACTCCCCTGCTACGGGTGACCACAACGTTTGGCATAGCAATCAGGATGTCTAGATAGTGGCCATCACCACTGGGAATCTTTTTTCTCTGGCCTTGGCTTCTAAACTGGATTTCCTCCATGCTCTCAAGCTTTTGCTTTGAGTTGTGCTGTTTTGTGCTTCATTAGCTGAGTGCTACTGAGCCTCTTTCAGCTTTCACTAACCTGAATATTAGGTTTCAAGAATCAGCACTTAGGGACAGGAGTATGGGATTAAGGCCCTTTTAAAATGGCCCTGGGTCATCTGTATTGGCCCAGACTTCTCTGTGTGTTAGATTGATTCATGTGTTTCTGTGCCAGCATATTTTGTTACTGTAGCCAGGCTCAAGGTAGCAACTCTTACCCTGTGTGTCTGTTTGTTTCAACTAGGCATTGACAGGAACCCATACTATAAGTGATCAGGGGAAAGACTGATACTCTGTGGGGTATATAAGTTCATTGGGTGGTTGCTTGTAGAGGAAAAGCGTCTATCATGTGACATGTTGAGGCAACACTTTTAAAAGTAGATGGCTAACCAGGCACAAATTTCCTTTGTTGCTACTGCTTCCTAATCCTCTGACAAAGATCCTGATTTTTCAGGGTTATGGGGAACACACTCATGACATGCTCATGGAACAACAAAGGAATTAGTTCTAACCTGACTTAAGTACACAGCCCTTAAACCCAGAAAGCATCTATTGCCATGGGAAGGGTTCCTAACTCTGAAGATGCGAATTTGGTTTCTCCCTTAAGTATATTCATAAATGATCAAACAAACTAGCAAAAAAAAAGAAAGAAAAGAAAAAAAACCCTGAGACACAGAGTGAAGAAATAAAATCTAAAATAAAGTTTCACAATCTGACTCAATTGAAAATTCAAAATTTACTAAGAAATTTTATGCAATAATACAATAAAATAAGAGTGATTGGCTTTTGTGCCTCTACAACATAGGTCCTGAATTAATTTTAATATCTGCTGAAGTGCACCAGTTGGTGAACTTTCAAAATTAGAATAACTACTGAGGTGCAAATTCTAGCTAAATTTGTGATCCCACTATATTTAAACAAGGGACCCCTTTATAATCTCTGAAGAATTCCTGGATATAAACTAGACAACAAGAAACATGCCTCACCTTAACCATTGAGCTATTGCCTTTTCAAAATTCCTCACAGTTGTAAAGCCCATTGCACTAGAACATACCATAGTGGACATAGAAGCTTCCACTCATTGAATGCAAAATTAAAATTAATTAAGTCTTTGCCATTTACAAATGGCTAGAAAAAATGGAATTCCATGGGCCTTCTCCTTCCAAGTTAAAAATAACCAATGAACACCATTATAAATTTAAAAAGGGCCTTCAAGAATTGAAACCCATTATGTAAGACCTATTTAGAGAAGGGAGGTTTGTCCCACTGCTTCTCTCTTTAGCAGTTCAACCTAACTTATTCTTTGACTTAGCAAGAATGAATTCCATCTAATGGTGCATTACTCAATGCCCTGGTTTTATTCATTAGGATTCCAATACCCAATAGTCTTGAAATTGCCAGTTTCATCCAATCAACAACTAGTGAATACTTTGTAGTCATAGATTTAACTGATATGTTCTGTTTTTATTTCAGCAGTTTCTCAGCCAGTTTGCCTTCACCTCTGAAGAGTCTAAGGCACCTTTATCCGCTACACATGGAGTACTGCAACAGCCCTGCCATCACACAAAATGTTTGCAGGCATATTCTTAATCACATCTACCTTTCTCCAGGAACATAGGTATGATATTATAATAATGATCATCTTCCAAGGTGATTTGTTTGACATACTCATTCAAGACATACAAATACTCACAAAGGAGCATGAAGAAAGGGAACAGGCCAGGGCCACACAAATAGTACCAGAGTCCACAACCTCCAAGACTCCACAAATTTCCAAAAATTATTTGGTAAACTAAGGTCCACTCTATCCCTAACACTGTCAACAAATGGCTACCCCCACCACTGTCAACACACAGCACCCACAATTTTTTTTAAAGAAGGCAAACATCTTTTAGGCCTTTTTGGGGTCTGGAGGCAACATATTCCTCAGTTACAAATTTTACTTAAGCCTTTTATACTGTTGCTGACAAATCAGCAAACCTTGATTGTAGCATCCTACACTGAAATGCTCCAAAATCCATCTAAATTGCAAGGCAACAGGCATTTCCATTAAGGCCTATTAGAGACTCTTTCACTCTAGAGGCTCTATTAACATCCAGTTTTCTGGGGTCTTTGGACCACCCAAAATACCCACAAATTGTCCATGAACTTCTACCATAAGAAATTGACCTCTTTGTGTAAGAAATTGTCCTCTTTGGCTATACCATACATACCCTTACAGTGGCCATTACTGACTGCATTCTGGGCTTTCCTGAAAACAGAGGCTCTCACAGGCCCTGAACCCATGACTCTACATATCTAATTGTGCTTATATCTTCAATGTAAAAGAAGTACCCCACTTTTCCAGGCATGGTGGCTCAAGCTTGTGATCCTAGTGTTTGGGAAGGCCAAGGTGGGAGGATTGCTTGATCCCAGGAGTTCAAGACCAGCCTGGACCACACTGTAAGACATCCTCTCTACCCCCCAACCAAAAAAAAAAAAAAATCCATGCACGGTGGTGAGCGCCTGTAGTCCTAGTTACTCAGGATGCCAAGTGGGGAGGATTGCATGAACCCAGGAAGTTGAGGCTGCAGTGAGCCATGATCATACCTTCAGCCTAGGTGACAGAGCAAAGCCTTATTAAAAAAAAGATAGTACCCCACAAGTTCCGTGCAACCACAGAGGCTTCCTCCTAGAAGACAGAATAAAATGTGAGTGCTCTGGCATATCTCATCAGAGGAATAGGACCCCTTCCATCCCCATCCCCCAAATCTTTGTAGATGTTATGGTTCCACAGGAATATCCCTTGGCCATAATGGAGTGAATAGAAAAGGAATTTGGATACTTTATGGACATCAGCAACATCGTCACATGTGATAAGGATTTCTGAAGGGTGATTACTCTTCATCCCTTTATCAGGATGTCCCTGACACCATAGGATCCAAAGGTCAGCACAAGTATCTCTACTTTAGGGAAGTCATCTTAGCATTGGATAACCTGTCCAACAATTGGCCCCCTCTGCACATTTTTAAATATTATTGGTCATTGCCAGTGGATTGGCTATTATTTTTAAATATTATTGTTCATTGCAGGTGGATTGGCTATTATTTTTAAATATTATTGTTCATTGCAGGTGGATTGGCTATCTCATCTAGCAATGGCAACAACAAACATTGCATATCCCAACCGCCTCTTTTGGTTTAAAGAGCTCTGATGACGTCCTGCTTCACAAATATACCCAAAAAATTAAAAATCAAACATGTCCTGCACATGCTAAAACCACAATACAAGGCCTCCTGAAGATATTGCATACTCCCTTCAGAGTTTCAGACACTATTGATAGTGACCAAGGCATTCATTTCACTTCCAAAGCTATACAATACTGGACTCTTGAATGATACATTCAAAAAAACATTCACCTCCCATACCAGCCTCAAACAAGAGGCCTACAGAACATGGTGATGGTTTATTTAAGCAAGTTCAAATTCAGTTAACTGAAACATTGCACACTTTAGCTACTAGTGAAATATCAGAGGTGAATTGCAGCAGGGTCAGATTCCATTTTTAATATTTGACTGCTGGCAGCTTTCAAGCCTGAGGACTTCCCTTTCCCCTCTGCTCTGTGTCTGGGCAAGCTGATAAGAAAGCCCGATGCGCTATCCTTGGCGCTGGTGGGAATTTTAAACCATAAAGGTCCCAGCATAAGCAAAGGAACCCTCACCCTCTCCTCATCCCCTATCAACTATAAAAACCCTAAAGCCAGTCTTTGTTCTCTGTTTTATCAAGAAATTCAGGGACCTGCTTGAGAGCTCATTCTGTTTTCCTCAGAAATACTTATGTGAGTAATAAACCTTTCAATACCCTCTTGGTGAGTGTGACATCATCAATCTTGATATCCAAACAAAATTTTGAGTTGGGGGGGGGGTTCATCTCACTTCTGTGGGGTGACCACAACAAAATGCACTTCAGTTATTTTGGCATACGATATCTGTAAGTAGGGTCTCTAGACATTATAATGCAGTTTGATTGTATTACCATTACCAAAAAGCCTTAAATCTTTTCTGAAAGCCTATCTTGTCATATGCGATCTCCAAACTACAAAATTCTAACTAAAACCCCTCAGAGCAAACTTTTCTTGCAACTAACATATGGTCTTTCTGATATGCCTGGATAAGTGTTTCAAAATGAAAAAAAAATACATTGTCCCTTGTTTTGCAATTCTTTTCTGCATGTGTTATACAAAATTTAAATCCCCAAGCATTTAAAAATGTCCATCTTAGTCAAAGCAGCAATGTCCTAATTGGTTTTGCATTTAGTTTTGAAAAAAAGAAACTTCAGTGGTTTATTTTCCAAGGTTCAATTGCCAATCCACATTACATTTAGTATGTATTCTATAGAAAATGTATTCTTCCAAAAGTATTTATACTTAACTAACCCAAATATACTTCTGAAAAATCATCTGGTAGTCATTTTTTTTTTTAATTTGCTTTCCACTTTTTTCTTGTAAACCTTTGTAATCTTTGTTGAGGAATAAATTCTATTTTCCTAGCATTTGTAAACAGTGGCACTTGTGAAGAGTGTCTAGACTTCACCCACGTAGCCAAGATGGGTAGTAGTTCACCTCTAAGGGTGATAACCTGGTTGTGAAAGTTTCAGAATCTGGGCAGTATATTAAATCACACTACCTTAAGGGAGATTAGCATTTATATAAAAATCTTGTTGAGAGAAGGTAGGGTTATTTTTCAGAAATAAGTTTCAGACATCAACAAAGAAATTTAGGTTAAGGAGAAATAAAATGGGAGAAAGAGGATCAGGATTAGTAGCTGATATCATCAAATGCAGAAAAGAATTGAGCTCTATGTCCAGAAAACTGCCACTGAGAAGTAGCATTGTGACAACTAAGTGTGTGGTGAAGGTTCTCACTCATATGATGCCCAGGGGCTGTGCCTTCACAGTACTGGCGACACTTGAGACATGCCTTGTTTCGACATTGAAGATGGGCAGAGCGAGCAGCAAACCTCCCAGCTAAGTCAATCTCCTTGGTTTCCTGAGAAACACTTCTAGATTTAAACTCCTTTTATTTTTGAAAAAAGACTTTATTTTATTTTTTACTGTAAAAGAGTTTGCTCTTTCTAAAGTCATTTTTTATTTTCTCTTTAACCATGTCCCGACTTTTCTCAACAGAGCCAGATGCTTTGTATGGCTTTCAATTCTGGAAACAAATGCGCACGCCTGGGCACACACACACTTCATTAATATAATCCCCATAAAAGTTTATTACTCCCTTTGCCTCATAGCCTCTTTTGAGGTAAGAGATCAGATCATAGTCATCTTTAGAGTCTTTACTTATGACGTAGTATTCAATACACAAATATATTTCTGTGTGGTGGTGTTATCTCATTCAAAAGGTAAACAGACTTATATGAGATGGTAGAAAGGTTATAAACAAGACACTCACTTGTAACCCACACCAGAAATTTAGTCTTTATGGCACTGTCTTATTGTAACTAAATACTTACAGCTTCTCATTTGTCACATTTTACCATATATAATATGATATCATAATTAATCATTGAATAACAAGCTCTTCTTTTTGTGGGCAAGATTGCATCAGATTCATGTTTGTATTCCACACAGTGTATTGTGCAGAGATGCATTCATTAAATGCTCAGTTTGATGTTTCTTCAAAACATATTTTTGAATACTATTAATTTCCTAGTGACTATGGTCGATAAAATGACTATCTCTGTTTGCTTAAGGAATGCAACACATTTCCTTGCACATAATAACCAGTGATCAAGTGTTTGCTGAATGAAAGAATAAATACATTGGTTGACCTGGCAAAGCACGGAAATACAATTTAAAGTAGAGCAAGTATAACCATGAGAACAAAACATCATGACACTTTTCAATAGAATAAGTGAGAATTTTATATATGGCTGGAGAAAAACAAAAACGCTTGAATGAGTAAGTAACATTTAACATATTACTATATCCACATATAGGTTTCAAGGGATAAAGGTAGAAAAGGGTATTCAGGGAAAAGTCAGTGGTGGGGTTTTCCTAGAGTTATGATGTATGCATGAGAGTAATGGGGAAAGCTGCTATTAGAAAATCAGGATGGAAAAAAAAATTTAGGAAAAAAATAGTTAATAAATATTAGACACCTAAATTTTTTTTTTTTTTTTTTTTTTTGAGACGTAGTTTCACTCTTGTTGCCCAGGCTGGAGTGCAATGGTGCAATCTCGGCTCAATGCAACCTCCACCTCCCGGGTTGAAGCGATTCTCCTGCCTCAGCCTCCTGAGTAGCTGGGATTACAGGCGCCCGCCACCGTGCCAACTCATTTTTGTATTTTTAGAAGAGACGGGGTCTCACCATGTTGGCCAGGCTGGTCTTGAGCTCCTGACCTCAGGTGATGCATCCATCTCCGTCTCCCAAAGTGCTGGGATTACAGGCGTGAGCCACCGCGCCCGGCCTGAACACCTTATTTTTATTTTTTGATATTTGCTATATGATGATACAGAGTAAACTTAATTGTTAATATTCCTTAAAATTATGTTACTAGTCTGTAAAAATCGAAGAACAAACGCAACTACTTTCTGATTGTAGCGATTTTGTTGAAAAGCCTCTGGATTACATATGGTACAAGCAAAAAATAAAATAAAATGTTACGTTTCTCCACCGCATTCCATTTGACTCCTTTTTAAATAACTATTTGAATACCTTTCATCCAGTCCAATGTAACTAGAACCTCAAAGATCCCCTCCCCTGGTCCAACCCACAGGCTTTATTCTTTAAAGGTCCCTTCAGGAATCCAGGCAGTCTTCTGTAGGGAGGAGACAGGGCTGGTTCTTTCAAACAGGATTAGTTCATAGGTAAATTCGCAAACCCTTGTCCCACCAGCAGGGGAAGCTCAGCTTACTCCAATGCAGACTTAACCCTTGTGCAGCCAGAAAGTATCAGTTCCAGGCACAGCTCCCCTGGCATCAAGACTCTTTTCTTGGCAAGAGTCACATGTTAGCTTCTCAAGCTCTAGAGAAAATATGTAAAGTTTTTTGAAGAGCGGCCTTAGCACCCCCTTTCCCTTTACCTGGAGGCGGAGGGAAAACACCTCCTCCCCTTCATGCCCCTGATGCTCCAGGAGAATCCTCAGCCTCCGCTTTGCTGTCCAATCTCATCCTGTAAGTGAAGCAGCTCTAATGCAGCCCATTAGAATGCCCTGCAAAGGTGACCTAGCATCTCATTCTGAATTACTTGTCCTATTTTTTGGCATTTGGGGATGTCTATGAAACTGGAAATTTAAGGAAATGCAAGCCAGAACCAGTGCTATGAAACCCACTTGTGTAAGGCTTTATAGCATCAGTGGCTTTTCTCTTTGCCTGTTCCTGCCAGCCCATTGATAATCTCTTTGTTTTCACCTCTATAATATAATATAAATAACATAATATAATATAATCTCTTTATTTTCACTATAAACGCTGATGCGGGCCTTGCAATTAACTAAAGAAGGCTTGCCTTTTAGATGTGCCAGGTAGCTTTAGGGCAGACAATCAATACCAGGTATGCATAGCATTTACATAATTCTGAAGTCAGTCTGGCAAGTCTTTCCTTTCCACAAAAATCAAAGTGTTTCCTGATGGGGGTTAATAATCTCTCTCATTATAGATCTGAATATTAAGTTTTATGAGCAAAGCTCTGTTCTCCTCCCTGTTCAACAGATAGCCACATCTTCTCATACAGTGCCAACTGCATCCCTGAGAAACGATAGTGACAGTGAAGGCCAGGGTAAATGAATTTAGTGGTGTTGATGTCCGGTCACCAGGGTTGCTTTTAACTCCAGTAAAGTGGATATTGTCACCATTAATGACACTTTCATTGACCTCAGTTACATGATTTCCACGTTCCTGTGTGATTTCACCCACGGCAAGTTTCAGGGCATTGTCAAGGCTGAGAACAGGAAGTTGGTCATCAACAAGAATCCCACCTCCATCTTCCAGGAGTGAGATTCCACCAAAATCAAATGGATAATGCTGGTGCTGACTATGTTGTTGAATACACTGGTGTCTTTACTATCTTGGAGAAGGCTTGGGCTCACTTAGAAGGTAGAACTAAAAGGGTCATTATCTCTGACCCTTTCGCCAATTCTCCTACGTTTGTGATGTGTGAACCATAATTGGTATGAAAACAACCATATGATTTTCAGCTGTGCCTCTGGCATCACCAACTGCTTAGTCCCCTTGCCAAGGTCATCTATGACAACTCTGGCCTCATGGAGAGACTCATAACCACATTCCATGCCATCACTGTTACCCAGAAAATGCTGGATGGCCCCTCTGGGAGACAGGGGTGATGACCGTGGGGCTCTCCAGAACATTATCCCTGCACCTACTGGCACTGCCAAGGCTATGGACAAGGTCATCTCTGTGTTGAATGAGAAGCTCATTAACATGGCCTTTTGTATCCACTGCCAGTGTGTCAGTTGTGGAACTGGCATGCTATCTGAAGAGAGTTGCCAAATATGATAACATCAAAAAGTTGGTGAAGCAGGCATTGGGGCACTTCCTCAGGTGCATCCTGGCCTACACTGAACACCAGGTTTTCCCCTCCGATTTTAACAGTGACACCCACCCTTCTGGCTTTGATGTTAGAGCTGGCATTGCTCTCAAAGACCACTTTGTCAAGCTCATTACCTGGTAATGGCAATGAAGTTGGTTGTAGCAACAGGGTATTGGACCTGACGGGCCACATGGCCACCAAGGAATGAAAGCTCCCTGCTCTACCAGCCTTAGAGAGAGCATGAGAGGGAGAGAGGGGTACTCAGTTGCTGGAGTCTCTGCCCCTACTCAGTCGCCTGTCACATTGAGACTCTGTCCTTCGTGATGCATTTTTCAACCCAGAACCCCTGAAGAATGGGAGTCTTACATTTTACCAAGTACTATCAATAAAGTTCCCTGCAATAAAGCTCCCTGCAAAAACAAACAAACAAAAAACACCCAATATTTAATGAGTTAAAACTATGATGCAAGGGGCAAGCAGATGGGAACTCCTATTGCAATGCGCTTGAGATCTTTTATATTTCGTAAATACAAATGAGCGTCAGCAAGCTCTTTCATTCAAGCTTAGGCCGGAGGTGTTCGGGTCACGATGAGATAGCAAAAAAAGACAGAAAAGGAAGCATAGAGTTACCTAAGATGGCTCCCAGAAATGTGTGAATAGTCAAGAAAGAACAGAGTTAATGCAACAACAACAAAAAAACTTAGTCATTGTTAAGCTCCAGTGTAAGCCACAGTAATACTTCTATCCAGATATCAGCTAAGCAACACTGCTCTTTGATATTTAAATAAAATTAGCTTAAGCTCTTACCTCAAGTCCTGTGGGAAGTCCTGCTGCCAATTCTTGCAGGGATTAAAATTCTCATGGTCATTTTTGATGGACATTTCTACTTCTGTGAAACTCAGATAGCTTCTCTCATAAGACTTTGTTTTTGAAGCAGTAGTCACTGAAAATTTAGGAAGATCAAGATAGTTTTTATCTCAGCGAGGCATACCATTTAAAATTGATCTTAGATATTTCTGTTACAGCCTCTGGCTGCTACTCCATCTAGGATTTTTCCAATGATTACTTTCTGTGCTACCTTCAGCTTCCTGATAAAAGTTCTCTCTTTATCCCCCTGTGAAGGCTTAAAAATCACAAACCCCCTGCCCCCCAAGAAGATATCTACATCTTAATTCCCAATTCCCAGAACCTGTAAATGTTACCTCATGATGGCAAAAAAAAAAAAAACCCAAAATACCAAAAAAAAAAAAAATGATTAAATTAAGGCTCTTGAAGCAGGAAGATTATCCTGTCTGGATGGGCCTTAAATCCAATCATCTGCATTTTTATAACAGGGAGTCTAGGGGAGATCTTACAGGCAGTCACACAGGAAAGAAGAGGATGTGCAGACAGAGCAGAGAGAGGTTTGAAAGTGCTGGCCTTGAAGATTGGTGTGATGTCACCACAAGCAAAGCATGTTGGAAGCCACCAGAAACTGGAGGAGGCAAGAAATAGATTCTTCTAGACCCTCAAAAGGAATGCAGCTCTGTCAACCACCTTGATTTTAGACTTCTAGCCTCAATAATCCTGAAATAATTTATTCCCATTGCTTTATGCCAAAAGCCTTGTGGGAATTTGTCACAACAGCCACGGAAACTAATACACTCTCACATCTCTCTTACCTCTCCCATACTTCTGTTCTCCCTATTCTCTTTCACCCCTAGTTTCTCTTTGTTTACTGTGTGAAGTTAACTGTCTCTTTGTGCATATCTTGGTTTTCAGAATGTTCACCTTTGCACTTCATCTGAAGTGCAGAATGATCTACCCACTGAGAACTGTGTAAAATGTGTTCAACCCTTCCAACAGCCATTTTCTGAAATTTAGACTAGATTGCATTTCTAGGTTATAGTTTCCCTACATAAGCAACCCCTGCCCCCACCTTGAGTTCTTGGTAAGATGGTAGTAGAGTGAGTCTGAGGGAAAAAAAATTTTTACTCTTTTAGTTACAACACATATGAAGATTGGAAATCTGGATAAAACTTCCTTACAAATATAACAAATTGACTTTTAAAAATACTTCAAAATAACAGGTAATACAACCACATATGGGATAATGAGAATAAAAGGTTAAAAAGCCCAGCAGACTACACATATTTACCACATTTAATAGAGACACAGCTAATTGTGCAAACTTTCAGAAACCCTTCATGAGAGGAGGGATTGAATCAAGTCTACGTTCATATCAAACTGCAGCTTGAGATTAATTGTAATGGTCAGCAACTGACTGAAACATTTATGTATTTTGGTAATACTTAACATATTGTGGGTTTATCAGAGTGTGATTTGCAAAAACACCAAAGACACTGGTTAAACATTCAGATTGATTCAACCTGGACCTCAGTCAGACACACTGACACAGAGAACCAACAATTTATATTTCCAACAAACTAAATTTCAGAATCACTAGTCTTCAGAGTGTGACTCAAATATTCCATTTTGTTACACATCTCTGTTTAAGGCTCCTAACTTCCACCTTAGGCAACACCTTAATTGGAATGGACTGCTGTTACTCTCTACATGAAATAGATACCCAGTTTGAGATGGGTTAACTCTTATTTAATCTACTTAAATTGCTACCCATGTGACAAAGAAAAAGAAGTCTGAGATGATTTTTAAACCATCATAAAAGACATCCACAAATCACTCATATAGAGCAGAATAGCATAAGCTGCTGAGCATACCAATAGAGTCACACCTAAAAGAAGCCTAAGGGAGGATATTCCAAACTGCCTCTGCTCTTGATTTTTTTTTTTTTTTCCTTTCAAAAGGCTCAGACTGAAGACCACTGCTGTTAGCTCTCTGGATGATTTTTGAAAGTCCTGAGGTGCAGCATAAGAAAGGCAATAATCTCCCAGGTAACTAGATCTGCAACCTCACAGGGGGCCAAGAAACACAGCTTTTTACTTCTGAGTTGATGGGTTACTTTGGAGACCAAAATTATATAACATAACCTGATACTGCCAGCTAAGAGGGAACATGGGTATTTTTAATCATTCATTACAGTAACACTTTTTCTAAGATTTACGGAAGTTAAGAAATGTAAATTTTGGTTCATTTCATTTTCTGATATGGCATTTGCTTTAAATAGAATATGTTAAAGACTGGTGAAGAGGAAGTACACAGGGTTGATTTTCAAGCTCATCATATTACAATAGATCCATTTTTATTTTTTAAGTGATAACTTTATTACATGGTATATGTATTTGGAATTTTACTGTTCACTGGTTTTCACAGCTATCTGTAACAATGCACAAGGAAATAATATTTATCAATGGTAAGCTCTATTTCTTCAATAGTCAAGCAAGTTTTGCAAGCTACACTATGTGGAGAGGAGCGGACTTCCATATCACCAGAATCATCATAAATTCTGTTTATTTGTCACTGCTTACATGAAGTAAAAATTAGTGCAAATTAGGAGACTCATTAACTTTCAAAATATAAGCTAGTCGAGGCGCAGTGGCTCACGCCTGGAATCCCAGCACTTTGGGAGGCCGTGGTGGGCGGATCACCAGGTCAGGAGATGGAGACCATCGTGGCCAACAGGGTGAAACCCCGCCTCTACTAAAAATACAAAAATGAGCTGGGCGTGGAGGCTTGCACCTGTAGTCCCAGCTACTCAGGAGGCTGAGGAAGGAGAAGATTGTGCCACTGCATTTCAGCCTGGTGACAGAGTGAAACTCCATCAAAAATAAATAAAAAATAAATAAATAAATAAATAAATAAATAAATACTAGTTGCCTTTTTCTTTTCCTCTTGGTAGGAGGACATAAATTGTTTATAAAAGCTTAAGAGTTTCTTTACCTGAGAACTAAGCATCCTGTTTCACTGACGTTTTTATTACATTGGGGAATAAATCATGCACCAACCGCATGTTTTTATGGCAACCTTCTTGTCAGAGAAGCCTTGTTTTGCTTATCATGAGATGTTCAGGAAATTAGCACTCTGCTGCTCTGAAAGGGCCCTCAGACAGCCCAGATTGAAGAACAGATTGCCTCGGCAATTCCTCCGTTCCTTTGTCGCACCTTAATAATTATGCACATTAAGCACCAAAATGCCTCCCATTGTGCACTGCTCTGGATCACGGTACCACAGAGGAAGCCAATGTGAACACAATGGATCAGGAGTATTAACCAGATCCCATCTTTTATCAGATCATGTGTAGCAGCCAATGAATTGAAATTAAAGAGCAGTACTTGAAAAGAGCACTTGAAAAAATGTTCCCAACTTCATTACTGTAAAGAAAAAAAAGGAGATGAATTAAAATTGGAGACATTATATGCATTTTTATTGTATAAGCCTAAACAAATGACCTATACTAGCCTCTAAGTTGAAAAAGTGTACAGAATTTTTTTTGCTTTAAAAATAATAATAATAAAGAATTTTAAAAATAACTTTCTTGGATCAAAATGGAAAGATAAAGAAATATTAAAAATCAAAGGTAGCAAGTTGATACTTCAATAAATTGTTCCTGTGAATTAAATTAGTGTGCAGTTGTCAAGAAATTATAAAATAATTATTTGGCTTAAGATATTAGATTCCTGTTTTTATATAATTTTTGATTAATTTTATAAAATAAAAGCAGACAATCTGATATGGTATTAACTTTTTTTGATAATATTTACTGAAGCAGCATTTTTACTTACCTTCTATAGTATTTGTGCACAAATTTGGGAGTCATTTCTTGCTAGTTATACTTTGGAGACCAGCAGTAACTATTGTTTAGAATAGTAGGTATATTATTGTATTTCTTGCTGTCATAGTAATAGGTAACACAAAACTACACATTGCTGAGATAATTATTCAGAATAATTGGTATGCCAAGTTCCCCTTTAAAAAATTAAAATCATTTTCAGTTTGACAATGTATTCGTTTAGCACTTTTTTTTTTTTTTTTTACTTTAAATGAATTCAGTGCCTCAGAAAAGTGCTGGATTGACAGACTTTTGGAGAGGAGGCTTTTGTTTATCCCTCAAACGAGGACAGCATGGGCAGCAGCAGGGGAAGCTTCCACTTTTAGGCAGGTGGAACTCTCAAAAAAGAAAATTCACACTCCTGTCAATACCATTTAAAGTTCTCACTTACACCAGTTTCACATGAAATAAAGCATTTTGTGGTTGTGACTCACATCTCACTCTTCTTCCCATGCTAAACTAAAGTTTTCCGGCCAATTCTGGAATTAATATAAATCTCTCAGGGTGAGAGCCTGCAAAACTAATACCACCATTTCTAAACTCCAATAATGTGTCATCTTTTATCTGTGAAATTCATCCTCAGTCTGACTGGAAACAGATTAAAATAAACTAGAGAGAGGAGGTGGTCAATGGGAATCTGGTTCATTTCATGTGTATGGACATAACAGATATTTATTTAATCCAACAACAGTATTTATTTTTCTCTTCCTAGATGTGACTGCTTCAAAAAAATCTTCACGCAGATTATTTTCCAGTTTCTGAAAGGAAAATTGTTCTTAGGAGAAATTCTGTAAAAACGTCCACTACCTACTAACCCCCATTACTAAAATTTTCAGCTGTCTGCTCTCTGAATTTCTTATTTTACATTTTTTTTCTGCTCCCAGGCTCCTGGAGATGAGCTCTACCCACACATCAATGAGATGATTTCTTTCTTTATTTCAGTGATATCCATATACTGCTTGAATGTTTCCCAATTTAAACCCTGCTAAGTTTAGCTGTTTTCTTTGTATAGTTCTTAAGAGCTTAATTGAGATATAATTCACATATTATACAAATAATGCATTTAAATTGTACAGTTCAATGTGTTTTAGTGTACTTACAGAGTTGGTTAATCATCATCACAACTTAATTGTAGAATATTTTCATTACTTTAAAAGGAAACCTAGTACACATTAACAGTCACTCACAATCCGTACTCCCTTCTCTACCCCTAGCCACAGGCACCTCTAAAACCATGTATCTATTCTTTGTCTCTAGAGGTTTATTTTCCTATTCTAGACATTCCATTTAAATAGCATTATATCATATAAGATTATTTTTGACTGATGTATTCCAGCTAGCAAAACATTTTTAAGATTCATCAACATTGCAGCATATATCAGTATTCAATTTCTTTTTATTGCCATGTGATATTCTGTTATGGATACATTACATTTTATTTATTCATTCAGCAGTTAATGGGCATTTGCATTTTAACCTTTTGGTTTAAAGTTTAATGAATAATGTTATGACCATTCCTGCACACATATTGTCTGAAGGTGTTTTTCCATTTTTCTTGTGTATATACCTAGAAGTGGAATTGTTGAGTAATATGATAACTCTATGCTTAATATTTTCAAGAATGGTCACTTTATTTTCCAATACAGTTTTACCACTTTGCATTCCCACTAGTAATGTATGAGAGTCCCAATTGCTCCATTTCCTCACTAACACTTGTAATTACTTGTTTATTGTAGTCATTCCAGTGGGTTTCAGGAGCGGTATCTCATTGTAGTTTTTATTTGCATTTCCCTAATGGCTAATGATGTTGAGCATCTTTTCATGTATTTCTTGGCTTCACCTATCTTCTTTTGAGAAATATCTATTCAGATGCTTTGTGCATTTTTTAAAAATTGGGTTATTTATCTTTTTGAGTTGTCAGAGTCCTTTATATTTTCTAAAAACTTAGCCCTTATAAGACATATTGTTTGCAAATATTTCCCCAATTCTGTGGATTTGACATGAAAGTCTTTTAATTTTGAGGAAATCCAAACTATTTTTTCTTTTGCTGCTTCTGTTTTTATTGTCATATCTAAGAAGGCATTTCTTAACCCATAGTAACTCCATGTTTTACTCTAAGACTTCTGTAGGTTTAGCTTACAATTAGGATTTGAATTAGCTATAGGTTATAGAATAATAACCAATAAGAATATAGAATAATATAAATATTGGAATAAAGAATAATGAATAAGAATATAGAATTATTTTGCATGTGAACATCTACTTGTCTCTGCATCATTACTTGAAAAGACTATTTTTTCCCCTTTGAATTTTCTTGGCATGACTTTCAAAAATCAATTAACAATAAAGGTAGAAGGTTATCTTTGGAACTCAATCCAATTTCATTTTTCTATATGCCTATCATTATGGCAGACCAATCTATCTGTATCATAGACGTTTTGTATTAAGTTTAGAAATCAGAAAATACTTCAACTTTGTTCTATTTCAAGATTGTTTTGACTATTCTGGGTCTCTCGAATTTTCATATGTATTTCAGGATGAATTTACCAATTTCCTTTAAAAAGAAAGCAGTTGGAATTTTGATAGGGCTCGCATTAAATTTAGATCAATTTAGGAGTATTGGCATTCTAGACATTCCATTTTAATAGTATTGTATCATATAAAGTTATATGATATACTAACCACATCAAGGCTTTTATAAATATAGATGTCTTTCTATGTATTAAGCCTCATTTAGTACATTTCAAAATCGTGTGGTTTTCACAGTACAAGTACTGCACTTCTTTTGTTAAATTAATTCCTTATTTTTTTATTTGATGATTATTCATTACTGCTGTATAGAAATACAGTTGATCTTTGGATATTGATAATGAATCCTACAAGCTTGCTGAAGTAGTTTATTAGCTCTTATATGAGCTCTTATATCATTGTTTAGTAGATTCCTTCTGATTTCTGCATACAAGATTATATCAATTTCAAAAGAAGACATTTTTAAATTCCTTCCTTCCAATCTTATTTACATATATATGTACTTATGTGTGTATATATGTATTGCCTTATTGCCCTGACAAAAATTAAATACAATATTGAATAGAATGTTAGAGTAGAATTATATGCCTTGTTCTCAGGATTAGAGGGAAAGGTTTTAGTCTTTCACCATTAACTATAGTGTTATCATGTATCATTTTATAGATTCTCTTCATCAGGTTGAACAATTTCCCCTTGATTTCTAGTTTTTGAGTGATTTTATTAAGAGAGAGTGTTGAATTTTTTCAAAGAATTTTTGTTCCTATTGAGATAATTATGTGGTTTTTATCTTTTATTCTATTAATACGATTAATTATATTGATCTTGTATGTTAAACCTACCTTGCATTCCTGGGATAAATTCCACTTGGCCATGGAATATAACACTTTGTAGATGTTACTGGATTTGTTTGCTATATTTAATTGAGAATTTTTTCTTCTACATTTATAAGAGATATTGGTCTGAAGTTTTCTCTATTTTGTGATGTGTTTGTCTGACAACGGCCTTAGGGAAATATTGGCCTCATAGAACCAACTGGGAAAAAAAAGGAGAAGTAATATGCAATTATACTGCCTTTATGATTACCTACCTGTTTTTACCAGTGCTCTTTTTGTTGAGTGTGTGGGGATTCAAATTACTGCTGGATGTTACTTGCTTTCTGCCTAAAATACTTATTTCATATTTCTCGTATGGTGTATCTACTAGCAAGAAATTACTTCACTTAAAATCTGGAAATAATTTGTTTTTACCTCAGTTTTTGAAAAATTTGCTATTTATAAGATTCTTGGCTGACAGGCCTTTTTTAGTCACTTTGAATCATTGCATCATACCACTGTCATCTGAACTTCATTGTTTCTGATGAGAAAGCAGCTGCTGTTCTTATTCCAGTCTCCTTGCATTTTGCATGTGACAAGTTGAGTTTTATTTGCTGCTTGTAAGATTTTCTCCTCATTTTACACTTTTAACCTTTTTAAACATGATGTTTTTCAGTGAGGATCTCTTTGTTTTTTGTTTTGTTTTGTTTTGAGACAGAGTCTCACTCTGTCACCCAGGCTGGAGTGCAATGGCACGATCTCGACTCACTGCAACCTCTGTCTCCTGGATTCAAGCAATTCTCCTGCCTCAGCCTTCCAAGTAGCTGGGAGTACAGGTGCCCACCACCATGCCTTGCTAATTTTTATATTTTTAATAGAGAGGGATTTTCAGCATGTTGGCCAGGCTGGTTTCAAACTCCTGACCTCAGGTGATCTGCCCACCTCAGCCTCCCAAAGTGCTGGGATTACAGGCGTGAGCCACTGCGCCCAGCCGGATCTCTTTGTTTTTTCTCCTACTAGAGTTCTTTGAGAATCTTGGACATGTGAAATAATGTATTCTATCAGATTTGGTAAGTTTTCAGACATTATGTCTTATAATATTTTTTTCTTCTCCACTTCTCACTTCCCCTCCACATAGTATAATTACTCATATATTGGTTCATTTAACGGTGTCCTATGTTTCTCTGAGGCTCTGGTTATTTTTCTTTCTTTCTCTGTTCTTCACGTTACATCATTTTTATCCATCTATCTTCAAGTTTACTGACTTTTTTTTCTTCTGACATCTCAAAACTACTATTGAGCCTCTCTGGTAAGTTCTTCATTTTGGTAACAGTGCTTTTCATCTACAGAATTTTTATTTAGTTCATTAAAAAATACTTTCTATCTCTTTATTGATATTCACTATTTGATGCGACATTGTTATCATATCTTCCTTTAATTCATTCAACATGGTTGTCTTTATTTCTTTCAAAATAGTTATAGCTGGTTTGAAGTTTTTATCTGCTAAGTGTTACCAACTGCATCCTCAAAGACAATTTCTACTGTGTGCATTTTTTCTTGTGTATGGGTCCCATTTTTTTTGTTTCTTTGCATTATTGATAATTTTTTGTTGTAAACTGTACATTTTAGATACTAGTTATAATAACTCTGGATCCTGACACCTCTCCACTTCCCATCTTATTGTTTGGTTGTATACTTGTTTAGTGACTCGACTGGACCAATTCAGTGAAGTCTATTTACTGCACACTGTGCAGTTTCTCACATTGCTCTTCAGAGGGGACAGGCTTGGGTATGTGCAGAGTATTCACCTAACCTTCACACAGATGACTGTGATTTTATCTGGGGTTTTAGCTCCTTGTCTCTTTCACTGATCTTCCTATTAAACTTTGGATGATCTGTTGCGAATGGCATCAAATCTAGTTACCTTTCACTAATTACTAGCTGGTTGTTGTATTGTTTTTAACAATGCTCTGGGGCATAAAATTTTCCATAGTCACATCCAAATAGAGTGTGGCCCCTTTTGCAGGATTAAACGGAAACGTTTTCGTCAGGCCGGACTTTGAGGCTTGCTTTGAACCCTCAAAAGTCAATGTCTTTTGAGAGAGTGATAGCAATTTCTATTCTTACAGCATGCATCTCCCCCCTGGACAGAAACTCTTCCACTGCTTCTGACCAGGAGGCAAGAATAGTGGCCCAGTTCTCTTAGAATGAAAATTCTGTCCTACGTTTGGACATTGGAATGATGGTGGTCTATGGTAGTTTTGTCTTCTAATTTTCCTACTGGCATGGAACCTCCACCATATGAGTAAACTGAGGTGGGAGGCAGCTGGGGCTTAGTTTTCTTGGTCTGCTGCACCTAGCTTGAGAGTTTCCATTTTGCAGGTAAGGGCTGGGTGGAAAAAGGAAACCCCAGTGCTTTCTGTCATGTTTGCATGGAATAAAGCTTTTTCTTTTTTTTTAATATATATATATTTTTATTATACTTTAAGTTCTAGGGTACATGTACACAACGTGCAGGTTTGTTACATATGTATACATGTCCCTTGTTGGTGTGCTGCACCCATTAACTCGTCATTTACATTAGGTATATCTCCTAATGCTATCCCTCCCCTTTCCCCCCACCCCACAACAGGCCCCGGTGTGTGATGTTCCCCTTCCTGTGTCCAAGTGTTCTCATTGTTCAGTTCCCACCTATGAGTGAGAACATGCCGTGTTTGGTTTTTTGTCCTTGCGATAGTTTGCTGAGAATGATGGTTTCCAGCTTCATCCATGTTCCTACAAAGGACATGAAGTCATCCTTTTTTATGGCTGCATAGTATTCCATGGTGTATATGTGCCACATTTTCTTAATCCAGTCTATCATTGTTGGACATTTGGGTTGGTTCCAAGTCTTTGCTATTGTGAATAGTGCCACAGTAAACATACGTGTCCATGTGTCTTTATAGCAGCATGATTTATAATCCTTTGGGTATATACCCAGTAATGGGTTAGCTGGTTATTTTGCACGTTAGTTGATGCAGTTTCTCTCTAGCATCGATGGTCTTTACAATTTGGCATGTTTTTGCAGTGGCTGGTACTGGTTGTTCCTTTCCATGTTTAGTGCTTCCTTCAGTAGCTCTTGTGGGGCAGGCCTGTTGGGGACAAAATCTCTAGCATTTGCTTGTCTGTAAAGGATTTCATTTCTCCTTCACTTATGAAGCTTAGTTAGGCTGGATACGAAATTCTGGGTTGAAAATTCTTTAAGAATGTCGAATATTGGCCCCCACTCTCTTTTGGCTTGTAGAATTTCTGCCGAGAGATCAGCTGTTAGTCTGATGGGCTTCCCTTTGTGGGTAACCCGACCTTTCTCTCTGGCTGCCCTTAACATTTTTTCCTTCATTTCAACTTTGGTGAATCTGACAACTATGTGTCTTGGAGTTGCTCTTCTTGAGGAGTATCTTTGTGGCATTCTCTGTATTTCCTGAATCTGAATGTTGGCCTGCCTTGCTAGATTGGGGAAGTTCTCCTGGATAATATACTGCAGAATGTTTTCCAACTTGGTTCCATTCTCCCCATCACTTTCAGGTACACCAATCAGACATAGATTTGGTCTTTACACATAGTCCCATATTTCTTGGAGGCTTTGTTCATTTCTTTTTATTCTTTTTTCTCTAAACTTCTCTTCTCGCTTCATTTCATTCATTTGATCTTCCATCACTGATACCCTTTCTTCCAGTTGATCGAATCGGCTACTGAAGCTTGTGCATTTGTCACGTAGTTCTCATGCCGTGGTTTTCAGCTCCATCAGATCCTTTAAGGACTTCTCTGCATTGGTTGTTCTAGTTAGCCATTTGTCCAATTTTTTTTTAAGGTTTTTAACTTCTTTGCGACGGGTTCTAACTTCCTCCTTTAGCTCAGAGAAGTTTGATCATCTGAAGCCTTCTTCTCCCAACTCGTCAAAGTCATTCTCCGTCCAGCTTTGTTCCATTGCTGGTGAGGAGCTGCGTTCCTTTGGAGGAGGAGAGGCACTCTGATTTTTAGAATTTTCAGTTTTTCTGTTCTGTTTTTTCCCCATCTTTGTGGTTTTATCTACCTTTGGTCTTTGATGATGGTGATGTACAGATGGGGTTTTGGTGTGGATGTCCTTTCTGTTTGTTAGTTTTCCTTTTAACAGTCAGGACCCTCAGCTACAGGTCTGTTGGAGTTTGCTGGAGGTCCACTCCAGACCCTGTTTGCCTGGGTATCAGCATTGGAGGCTGCAGAACAGAGAATATTGCTGAACAGCAAATGTTCTGGAGGTTTCGTCTCAGAGGGGTACCCGGCCATGTGAGGTGTGTCAGTCTGCCCCTACTGGGGGGTGCCTCCCAGATAGGCTACTTGGGGGTGAGGGACCCACTTGAGGAGGCAGTCTGTCCGTTCTCAGATCTCAAACTCCATGCTGGGAGAACCACTATTCCCTTCAAAGCTGTCAGACAGGGACATTTAAGTCTGCAGAGGTTTCTGCTGCCTTTTGTTTGGCTATGCCCTGCCCCCAGAGGTGGAGTCTACAGAGGCAGGCAGGCCTCCTTGAGCTGTGGTGGGCTCCCCCCAGTTCCAACTTCCAGGCCGCTTTGTTTACCTACTCAAGCCTCAGCAATGGCAGGCGCCCATCCCCCAGCCTCACTGCTGCCTTGCAGTTCGATCTCAGACTGCTGTGCTAGCAATGAGCCAGGTTCTGTGGGCGTGGGACCCTCTGTGCCAGGCGGGATATAATCTCCTGGTGTGCCATTTGCTAAGACCATTGGAAAAGCACAATATTAGGGTGGGAGTGAATCGATTTTCCAGGTGCCCTCTGTCACAGCTTTGCTTGGCTATGAAAGGGAATTCCCTGACCCCTTGTGCTTCCCAAGTGAGGCAATGCCTCGCCCTGCTTCGGCTCACGCTCGTTGCGCTGCACCCACTGTCCTGCACCCACTGTCCAACAAGCCCCAGTGAGACGAACCCGGTACCTCAGTTGGAAATGCAGAAATCACCCGTCTTCTGTGTCGCTTACACTGGGAGCTGTAGACTGGAGCTGTTCCTATTCGGCCATCTTGGAACCGCCCCTTGGAATAAAGCTTTTTCAATGGAGCTGGGAAGAATGGATGAGTAGTAATGCTCATAGCTTTTACTTCTTAGGAAGAAGTCAAAATGTTAGACAGGGAGCTGGGAGAAGAGTGAGTTCTATCTTCTTGGCTACACCTGCCTTCAGTAGAACTTTTGTCACACTGAGCTGGGGGAGGAGGGTGAGTAGGTTATAGGTGAAATGGCACAGATTCCAATTGCATAGACTCTATTGAGTAAATGTTTCTCCATTTGCTGTATGCCCTTAGGACAATTTCCAGAGACTTAAAGAGGTTTTATTTTTAATTTTTTGTTTTTGTAATTTTCATGAGCTATAGTTGCTTTGTGGAAAGTTATGGTTGTTTTGTTTTAGAAGACGGTCCAAAGCAATCCTCACATTACCATTCCACAAGTATTTCATGCCCTTTGTGCATTTTTCCAGTCTGGCAAGTTTGTCTTATGGTATTTATGTATTTTCCAGTTCCTTTACTTGCACATGTATTTTTGGAGGACAGATTCTATGCATCTGAGTTTTGTACACTCTTCTCAGTTGTTGTTTGCTAAACAATACACCATACTTTTCACATATAATAGTCTGGCTAAACCTCATCCATTCAAAATATTATATTTTCCCCTAATGGTCATCTTTATTTCCTTTTAGGCTACTTCTACTTTTCACATTTCTTTATTGTCTACTTTGACATATCTCATAATTCATAAAGCTCCGTGAACCAAAGCAATGATTCTTGGATGTACCCTAATCTCCTCAATTAATTTTGTTATATTCTTTTTATTCTCTACAAGTTGTTTAATTATTTTAGAAGTATGGGACCAAAGTTCCCAAATTACAGATCTAAATTATGGCATTGTTTATGAACAGGAATAGATTTACCACATGTTTTCAGCAATATTCCCAATGATAAATATAACTATATGTTATTGAGCACTTTCTATGAGTCAAGACTTCTAATTTTTTCACATGTATTTTTTAAATTTAATTCACACTAGTCTCTGCTAGTAAAATATTGAAAGCATAGTTTTATACATAAGGACAATAAGAAAGAGAAGTTAAGTAACTTGCCCAATATGACACAGTGACACAGCTGAATTATATATTTTAACAGGAAATAGAAAATATTTTCTCTTATCACAAATCCCATGAGATCATGCTCCACATTTAGTTGACACTTACAGTGTCAGCAACATATTAGGATATTTTTAGGGACCAGATAATAACAAATCTAGATACAGTATTAATATAGACAACTCAAGCAAATATTCTGATCAGGTGATTTAGCTTATGTATATAATTTTTCATATCCTCAAAATAATAAATTTATAGGAATGTTCTTAGAAAAAAATGAAATTTGGAGACAATAAGTTTTTATTTTCATGCGATTTTGGATTGAATATGTCTAACCGTAAAATAATGTTACTTTTTACAGTCTTTCCCCCCAAAATCTGCTATGTTTATGTGTTCAATTTATAATCTCCTTTTCCGTTATGTACACTGGGAACATGCTACATGGCTTACAGTAAGGAATCATTGTGATCTGAAAAGCCAAACCCAACATCATATTTCTTAGCTCTAATATCATTAGACAGTCATATTTTATAGCTGTGACAGCAAGGCTATGACAGATGACACTTTGAGAGTGTTGGGGGAGAAAGCTCATATAGCACTTAATCAAATGGTTGCAATGTCTGAAAGGATTAAAGTCAAGCAGACTATGACTCATAAAATTATGTTTCCTATTATTATCTTAAAACTGACAATGAAATACTGTCTTAAATGTGTATGTATGTGCGTGTATTTCCTATTCTTTCTGAAAAAAAATTTCCATAGCACAAAGTTAACATGATTTTTTTCCCAGCAAGTTTGTATATTGATTTTTTTGAAAGTATGCATGTATGTATGTACTTTCTATGCTTCCTGAATACTTGAAATAGTGTCTGTGGTAAACTGTGTATCAACACTACTTCCTAGCTAATGAGTATTAGACTATTGCATAACTGCAAACATCACACACACACACACACACACACACACACACACAGACAGAGTCTCTTTTACTCTCCCTCTAAAGAAAGAATAAACAAAAGAAAAAGAAGAAAGAAAGCAGGAAAGAAGAAAGAAAGAAAAAGAAAGAAAGAAAGAGAGAGAGAAAGAAAGAAAGAAAAAGAAAGAAAGAAAGAAAGAAAAAGAAAGAAAGAAAGAAAGGAAAGAGAGAGAAAGAAGAAAGAAAGAAAGAGAAAGAAAAAAGAAAAAGGGAGAGGAAGGAAGGAAGGATTACTTTTAAGGTTCAGAGATATTTGTTAATACATTTTTCAGTGTTTTCATTAGCAAAGTATATGAACAATTCCAATCCTAATTTATTGCCTAAGGTTAGAATAGAACTTGCCCTTTGTTGCCATGGTAAAAAAAAAAAAAAAGAAAAAGAAAGAAAGAATTTCCACTTACTACAGCTTACAAAAGCAAATATAAAAATTGGAAAATCTTCTAGCAAAGAAATTTAAAGTGTGTTGCCCTCCAAAATAAAATTTCCGTGTTCCTGAATGGCTACTTATAGATGCTTTCTCTCAAATGTTTTCTAAGAAAATTTATTGTCAAATTTTCCTTTTTATAATAATTCTAGATTTTCAAATAGAAAATTATAGCTAATGTTGTGTATGATGTTTCCAAAGTCTTCCTTTCATTATTGCATTACTCTTTATAATCATCATAGTCTGTTATAATGAAGAGCTACTTTGGATGTACAATAATGGCACTTTTGACAAATTTAACCACAAAGCAATGTTATCTATTAGAAACAAGTTACTGAAATAAAAAAAAAAATTAACAGTTAAAACAGATGTGACAAACCTTGCATAATGATTCATAAAATAAATGAGACATATTGAGTGCACAAGGCATGTTATGATTTCTTATACTTACAATAGGATAAAATAAGCTCCAGGTTAGTGCATTCATGAAGGTTGTCTAATTTTCAGAAACTGTTTTCTGACATTTAGCAAGAAATGCCTGTAATCTGTATAAGCATAACTAAAATTAAAATCTACTCTCTTTGCTTCCGCTACTATATAAATTCCACTATTTTGTACAGTTGAACTCCCCCTCTACACTATCTCTGGGGCCTAACGTAAGAAGAAGCCACGAACTCATTGAGTTGGTCTAAAACTATGTTTAAAACTCAAATGCTTATAGGTCTCAAATGAATGTAAATGAGTGTCAAACTAAAGCCTCTATGCACCTCCGCATTATTTCTGGTTTTCAAAAAGAGAATAACATCTAGATTGTTATATGAAAATTTCCGATTTTTAGTATTGGTTCAGAAAGTTTTAATGAAAAAATTTCAAACTCTATAATCAGAAATCACACACAAACTTATCACTGAAACATACACACATGCACACACACACACACACACGCATGCACCCCACCTATGTCCAACTGAGGCCTTCTGACAAATCTATGATGCTTTAGAAACTGATTTAACACTGAAACATTTCCATCTATATACCTAAAATTTAATTTTCAAGAGTAAACATATGAATTTTGACATCTGTATTTCATAATACCCCCATTGATTATATTTTCTTTGTACTTGATACATTCTTATTCAATTCAAATAATGACAATAGTAATGTTTGGTTGAAGAGATAGTGGACACAGTTACTTTTGCTAAAGTGAGGGAATCATAGGGAATACGGTTGTAGTTTTTAAAAATAGTGAACATTATCAAAATATTCATATTTTGTTTAATGAAACATGACCTTTTCCAAAACACACGTATATTTTTGAAATGCACATGAAACTTTGGCTTTAAGGATCACAGAAAATGATTAATTTATCTTGGTCATGATTTTAGCTGTCACAAACTCTCAAATGTTTTATTATACTCTTACTGAAACACGCACATTGCTCAACCGGTGGAAGCATCCTATGTACTAGACAGAATATATCCCAGCATGTAGCTTGCAAATGACATTTTATAAGCAGCATATGTCTAGATAAAATTGTCATATAAAGTTCTTATATTTCCTAAGCCTGTGGAAACAAGTCATCAAAGTTTATGTTGTCTTGAGAAAAAAATTTGTCAAAGCATTATTTTAAATCTCTGCAATTAAAAAAATATTAAAATGTAACATCTAAAGAGAATACTTAGGTCATAGCTAGTTAAGGCAGATTCACCGCTATTTCATTGATTTGAGAATAAGTTTTCTTATTCTCAATCTTAAAAGATTTCTTTTAATAGAAATCTTAAAATATTTCTATTAATATGATGTGATATTTTCCTGGGTAATAGACCTCTAATGTGCAATTGAAACTTCATTTAAAAACTGTGATTTTAATAAAAAACATACAATGAGTATCTGTCAAATTTAAATATCTTTAATAATTGTGTTATGTAACATATATGAAGGGGTTTGAAGATCTTCAGAATTTCATGGAAGTTTAGGCCCGGCTCAGTGGCTCACGCCTTTAATCACAGCACTTTGGAAGGCCAATGTGGGTGGATCACCTGAGGTCAGAAGTTCGAGATGAGCCTGGGCAACATGGTGAAACCCCATCTCTACTAAAAATACAAAAATTAGTCGGGTGTGGTGGTGTGTGCCTGCGATCCCAGCTACTCTGGAGGCTGAGGCAGGAGTATCACTTGAACCCAGGAGGCGGAAGTTGCAGTGAGCCGAGATCATGCCCCTGCACTCCAGCCTGGTTGACAGAGTGAGACTTTGTCTCTAAATAAATAAATTAATTAATAAAATAAAATAAAAATATAAAAAAATTAAAAAAAAAGAATTTTCTGAAGTTCAGTCTTGATGGTGTGGGTTTTTAATGTATCTATTTTGTTACAACTATTTTATTTTTATCTAAATGAACCAACCCCCAAATCCAAAGACTAGTGTTACTTTACTACATTATAGAATAAGTTCAATTTCAACATTTGGAATTGTTGATATACATATATTTATGCACAACCAAATAGAAATGGTCTTAGATGATTAAGAATGGATGAGAAAAAATTGACTTTGTAATAGAGCAAAGATAATTTCAAGAAAATTGAGATGGAATATTAAGTGATAAAAACAGGTATCAATGATTGTAAATATTTCATTGTTGCATTTTACTAAATTGTATATATGTTTATAAATTTATACATGATTAGAACTAAAGACTCACAGTAATCTAGAACTTAAAAAACCTTTAGGTATTAGCTAGTTCAGGGATGTCCAATCTTTTGGCTGCCCTGGGCCACATTGGAAGTAAAGAATTGTCTGTGTTCACACATGAAATACACTAATACCAACGATAGCTGATGAACTGAAACAAAACCAAACAAAAACGCAAAAAAAAAAAAAACTCAAAATGTTTCAAGAAAGATTACAAATTTGTCTTTTAAATCCAATTCGAATCAAATCAAATTCAAAGGCATCCTGTGTCATATGCAGCCCATAGATTGTGGGTTAGGTAAGCTTGATCTAGTTTATCTCATCTAAATTCTCAAAAATATGGACAAGTTTTATATACAATCAGCAGAATAAACTAAAATTTAGACCCACATATTCTGGCTTTATGTCCAGGCTCTCCTATCAATAAATATGGTTCACATGTAAAATTTAGAATTATTGACTTTCACATAAGGTAAACTAACAGAAGCAGAACTTCGGTTACCATCTAGGAGTATCACATCTTGATTTCTTATTAACAATATGCCAGATTTTTGTTCCAATTAATGTTCTATAAATGTCCATATCAATGCCCTCTTATATTTATTAAAATAATTTTATTTCTGTAAATAAAGCTTCCATTAATTTGATAAAAGTCTGTTCAGCAGAGATAGATTGTAGAAATGGGAAGAGTTGAGTGTTTTATTAATATATTTTTGTATAAACGGTCAAACTACCCTTAAAATGAAGTAGCAACCTGCACTAGCTTGAACCCTTCCTGGGTACTGGTTTTAAAGAAAAAACATCTTATAAAATCTCATAATGAAAATTAGTTATAGAAAGGTATTTAGAACCTGATGCCTCATTTCTGAATTTCTTGTTTACTTGTTTGGTGAAAATATCTTGTTTGGTGAAAATAATATTTTCTTGATAAAAGTTTATTAATTTCTGACAGAGTCCATTATATTCCTTGTCCAGAAATTTGGTTAATTTAAAACAATAAAAGAGATATCACACATTATTAAGTTTAAAAGGGAGCAGGAAAGGCTAAATAATTGAATGATATTTAAATAAACATGAGAATTCATGACATTAAGTATAAAATCTTCATGGTCACCATTTACATAAACAATAAATTTTTGCCATTTATCCTTCTAACTGCCACAACTGCTGAGCTGGTTTTCCCACCTCTAATCTTGATCTTTTCCAAATAATTTTCTTCACTGTGCCCAGAACAATCTTCTTAAAAGGCATATCTAAAGGTGTCACCTCTCTGCTTGAAATCCTTCAATGGTTCCTTGTTACCTAGAGGATAAAGTCCAAACTTATGTTCAAGACATTAGATGTCCTTTAAAGTCAGATGATCATTTGCCCTCTTTCTCACTCTGTGTATGATTCTAAAGTATTGAAGAGCTCAATCATCACCTCCGGACCTTGCTCGTGCTCTACCTGGAAACTTCTAATATTTTTTCATCTTAATCTTTTTTTTTTTTTTTTTTTTTTTTTTTACCTTTGAGTCTCCTCTTTCAGTAAACTCACTGAGCTTCTTAGTTTATATTACACATACCTTCTATATTCTCACCAAACCCTTTGTACTGTTTGGGTACTTATTTCTCCCTTTACATCTTTGTAAACATCAAGATTCACATCTTAGGTGATAGGTGATAATCACTTAATAATAACTTTTTGGGCAGATGCATAAAGGAATGAATATTGAACTGAAAATCATTTCACATAAAATAATTCCTGTGAGAACCCACGTACATACTTTGACAGTGTTTCCACTGGAGACCACAGAAGACCTGGGAGGGCAGTCAGTAGAAGCCCAGGCTGGCACACCCTTGGTGTTCTTCCCACCATCTACTCCTGATTTCGGGTTCTTCACCAAACCCCAGCCCACATGGCAAGCTGCTTCATTTCCATGACCATCCCTTGCCAGCATTCCAACCCGTTTCCCAACTAGTTAATCTTTTGAAAATTCTTTGAGCTACAAAACCAATAAGCTCCACGCAGCCAGTATTTTTATACAATGCAGATTTTATTTTTTAATCCTAGCTCTTTCTGACAGCCCACTTATGTTACTCTCTAACTTGATTATGCGATAGTTAACGGTACATTCCACACTGTCCTTCAGTGACTCAGAATACTACAACCTTGTGTAAACCAAGATAGACGATGATAATATTAACGCTGAGGCCAGATGTTGCCTTTTCCTGATATAGGTCAAGCAAGTGGCTGCCTTCATCATATGTGTGAAAGGAAAAATTTGTCTCAAAATATTATCCAACAACACTGAGGACCTGAAAGTTCATATGTGTGTAAGAAACCTTTCTCTCTGGTATAAGTCTCAATGCCTTCCCTGCTTTTGCTAAAGAGCCAGTGTATTAACCAACAGGTATTCACCAGTGCATTATTAGATAAATCCATTGGAGAAAATAGCTATAGCAAAATACTGAGAAAAAGCTCTATGAGGGAATGGTAACATTTAAGGGGGAAGAAACTTTTTTTTAAATGTCCCATGGAAAAAGCTAAGGATGGCACAATCAGAGGGAGGTGGATGGGGAATGATCATAGGCAATTTGAAAAAAACAAGTTTTCCAAAGTCAGACTGTATTTGGACATGTTTGTTTTATTTCTTCCACTCTTCTGCCAGGAATTTAGTGGTTGTCCTTAAATGCAAGTTCATAAAATAGTGTGCTAGTTGTAGGACTAACTCAAGTGACCATATTTAATTACTATCAACTAGAAACTATTTATAACCTTCCATCAAAGGAAAAATAAATGCCTAGTCAAAAACTAGTATCACAAAAATTAGTTGCAACAGAAACGCTAATTGCAACTCCAATGTCTTTGGAGTTCTCTGGATATTTATAGTTTTACACATTTGAGTGTGGTCAAGTCTAAACATGCCAGTTATTGTAATGAAAACTTTACAGCAAAATATCAAAGAAGAAATGTTCCCGTTAACTTACAAACAATAAGATCATATAACACTCATTCTTTACATAAATGTATTTCTTCAACATATCAATAGCAATTGCAGTCACAGAAATACTGAATGTTATCACAATTTTGTGCCGTTGTGGGATTATTTTCTATATTTTGCGCTTTTATCTGATTTCATAGGTGCTTCAGCTAGACTCTATGAATGTGTTTTTGATCAATAATATGATCAAAAGGCAAAGAGCAATTTGAAACTTTTTATTAACTCAATTGACCTTTGATAGTTTCCTCTTCAAGATTTTTATCTTCATATCTTACTCCAAAATTTTTTTTTTAAAAAGCATACTTACAATTTAAAAAATTTCTTTAAAAAATACTTTTCCAGCAACTTAATAGCTGTTTTATTACATCTTTTAATCTAGATACATATCTGGTCATCACTTGAAATTGAGTTTTACATAATAAGTTAAAACAGTCCTAGAGCATTCTTAACTAACTCTAAAAGTTACTTATATTTTAAAAAACTAAAACATATTAAAATCTATGTAATGATTTTGTATTTATTGTATTTATTATTGGATCATACTTTATATTAAAATAGAAAAACATTTAAATATTCTGTTTTCAAAAACTACATTTTATGTTTTAGAACAGTTTTTCTAGGCTTTAACAAGAAAATAATCCCTAAATTATATCTTCCCACCAATATTCTGAAATCTCTATTAACAGTTCAAAAACAGTAAAAAAAATCTTTAAAAAATACATAGAAAAAACAAAATACTATATGACATGAATTCTTTTCAGTTTATGAAAGAGAGTTTGCTTTGGATTCTTGTTGTGACATCAAAAAAACAGGCAGAACTCTTCAATTCAACGATTTAGGAAAGTCTTATTGAAATGAATACTCTTTGGTTGTGCTGTTCATTCCCTCAGCGCTGGATCCTGAAGCCAGTGGTTTAATTGTGTCGATGACTAACTTCCATTGTGCAAAGAACTTAATTACATAGTGTGGTTCAGTTTCTATTTTGCCAGGCAGTCATTCATCCATAAAAGAATGCTGTAGAAAGTAAGTGGTAAAATGCAAAAGAAATTGAAAGCACATGACCGTAGTCAGGAAGCAAATAAGTAGCTTTCAAAAAAAAAAACCAGGATGCTTTAACTGGGAGCTGCATCACAGTCCTAAAACAAAGAAAAAGTTGGCAGCCAAGAAGAAATATTTTGCAATTTTGCTTACTGTTCAGCATCATAAAATTATTTGGACCTACTTTTGATCTTTTGGTTACTGATCAATTAGGGAAATTCATCAAGTGAAACTAAAATATCTTTAAAGCCATATAAATTTTTAAAAAGAACAATATTGCTCTTTAGAGGTATACTCTCCATCTCCTCTGTTGTGAAATAATTATTTTAATTTTTAATTTATAATAGTGGCCCCATAGGAACTGAGAGGACAGCTTTGCAATGACCCTGGGTAATCAAGGCAGGCAGGTTGAAAGACTCATGTAGTATCTAAAACTTCATATTGCTTTACAGATGCTTTGAGTCTAGTATATAATATCAAGACACAATCCTGCAAATATTAGACATCCTGTCTGTGACAATATTGGCTTCAAATCACATATATTCATAAGTGAAAACGGAGAAGAGTTTAATCTGAGCAAGAACTACACTTCCTAGTTGAAATAGGTCTCCTGAGAGTAGGAGATAGTGTACTCTGCAATCAATAATTACTTTGTGTCACTTTTGTTGTTGTTGTTTTATTGAAAAAGCTAAAATTTAACACAATTACATTTTAGTTGCTTTATCTCAACAGTTGATATTTAACATTTGAATTTGTGTTAATTTAAATTTCGAATTTGACTGGGTATAGTGGCTCAAGACTGTAATCTCAGCACTTTGTGAGGCAGAGGCAAGCAGATCACTTGAGGTCAGGAGTTTGAGACCAGCCTGGCCAACATGGTAAAACCCCGTCTCAACAAAAATACAAACATTAGCCGGGCAAGGTAGGGCTTCTCTGTAATCCCAGCTACTTGGGAAGCTGAGGCAGAAGAATCGCTTGAACCCAGGAGGCAGAGGTTGCAGTGGGCCAATATAGTGCTACTATACTCCAGCTTGGCTGATGAGTGAGACTACATCTCAGAAAATAATAATAACATAAATTAAGAAGAAACAATAAACTTGGGGGAATTTAAAACAATTATTTTAGTTCATTTTTGTAAAACATGGGGAAATTCAACAAGTAGAGATGCTAAATAATAAAGTCCCAGGAATATCCCTTGATCTGAATGGGGAAGACCAGGATGAGAGGGATAAATGTGATGTAGCACATAAAGCAGTCATAAAGCAAAGACAGTAGAGCCTACAGGGTAGAAACATTGACTTTGCAGTCAAATGAGTCTGGGGTTTGATTTCCAATTCTGTCACATACTGGTTGTGTGACCTTGGATAGCGTCATGCCTGTAAATATTTATTTCCTCACATGTGAACTTATGATAATTACGACATGGATTTTACAGGGCTGATATGAGCATTACCTGAGGTAATGTGTAGACAGTACTTGACTCACAGTAAATGTTCCCTGAGTTTGGGCTGAACTGAGTGTGCAGTGAAGAGGGATAAATTCTGGTGGCCATTGTATGTGCTGCAGTGTAATCAATGTCCCTCCTCATGAAGTATCTTGCAAAGTAAGGTCTATGGAAACAGTAAGCTTTCATTCAGAGACTTTCCAAAATCAAATTCCTTCCTGAACCTGAAATCCCTTCTTCTGTTATTTCTGAATCCGCAAATTTATTTGTTGAATGAGAGATTTTTGTGAGAGTTTATTCTTGATATATAAGCTCAAGGATCAATTTTATTATATATTTTCTCTATTAAGTTATAAAAACTCTCCAAGGGGGTGGGCAAGATATTGCCTGTTCAATTTGCTAGATTTTTCCAGGATATGAGGTGTGAGGTAAAGGTGATGCTTAAAAACCAGTGAGCTAAAGGTTCTGTAGAAGAGGCTGCCATGCATAAATTGGAGTATTGGAGTATAGGTGCTGAGAACTGTGAACTTGTCTTTTTTACCCTAGTGATCACACAGGACAGAAGATCACAAATTAAGAAAAAAAATTAGAAAAACTGAAAATGGCACAAAAAGAGCATTTTGCTAAGAGTCTAAACATTGGAAAAATTGAGAAATTATTATTTTTTAGTATATGGTTTAAGAATTCTAAAATTTATTTATTACTTAGTATTTTTTAAAATACTAAGTAATAAATAAATGTACTTATTTTGTACATTAAAGTACAAAATAATGATGTATTTAAACTTGAGTAATTTAGATTATTGAGGAATATATTTTCTAAAAACAAGGATCTATAATAAAAAAAGTTCCTTAAAATTGGTAAAGCAATCATCATTAATGATTTTAAAATAACACAATATGAAATGTAAGAGTTTGGAGATATGAAAAATAATTTCAACCAAACCTTTGATTTTACCTGTTTATTTTATTTTACCTATTTATGTGTTTATTATGCTTAAATTATAATCTAGCTTAGAGACAAACAGATAAAATTTATATTTACTAGATGATAAAAGGGATTGGATTTTATGATAAGCTTAAAAACATTGAAATGAATACATTGATTTGTTTAAATATCCATTTTAGACATACAGCAAGGTAAACATAGAAAACTGCTCATAACATATTGATACTATCCTCTATATGATATCATTGAAGAAGGTGAAACCTACTCCTGAAACAAAGAACAATAGAAATGGATCAGATGTGTTTGCTCTAACACAGACCCAAATTGCTGTGAAAGACACAGATCAGAAGGAAACTCTCCAGGGAAAATTTGCCAAAGTCATCATCTAATCATATAATCAGTATAAGTAGGTCGTGAAAATACTCAAGATACTTGCCCCCTAGAAAGTCTGACCTGAAAGAATTCTTTTTTCTTTTGAGATGATAATAAATTAGAGCTGGAAACACACCATCACTGAATATATCAAATGGAAATTGAGAGTGAAATAACAAATAAACATTATGGACCTAATATCACCAGATGAAAAGCTTTCAAAATAAATGAGTTTGACATATTTTAATTCACTATGATAAATTCCAGTTGAGATTTTAACTTGGCTATGAAAGACTTTGTGGCACTGACAAGAAATGAATATAAAATGAGCCTGATAATAATAAAAAGTTTTAGGTACTTTTTTCTACTTTCCTTCAAAAATCCTCTTTATTTCCCTGTTCACTCAATCTTCAATTGCTAAAGAAAACCAATAAGTCATCAGAGAAGTGCTTTAAGTGCTCACAGCATAGGAAAAAATTGGTCTTGTTTCCTCCCAAAGAATGCATTATTAAAAATCTGTAAGATGTGTTTTAAATGTACACCCATGCATCCAGACAACCACTGCCACCACAAAGAAGGAAAATAGTCCAAAAGTGACTCAAAAGGACATCTTTGTACATCCTGCAGAAAGCTGGGGCCTTTCAACATATTTGTGGCTTCATTGCAGGAAACAGACTCTTATTTGTTGATGAAGCTATTATGTAGTTATGAAGCAATGCTCTTTTAACTGAAGCTGTGCAATTTTTTTTAAACTATTGGTTAAAATACAGTAAATTTAAATTCTTCAGCAAAAAGAAAAATAGAAAATCAAAGAAAGAGATCAATCTCCCACCCAGTTTTGTAGGAAAAGTTGCCACCTCAAAGATCAGAGGACACAATATGTTTCCAGTTATAATTTTGTCATGCTTAAAACTTGGCTGTGAAAAGCCAAGTCCCTTCAAGTGGATGAAATTTGGCATAGAAACCAGTGAATTGCTTGTTCTTAAAACTAATTTAGCCCTGGCATGGTGACTCATGCCTGTAATCCCAGCATTCAGGAGGTCAGGAGATCGAGACCATCCTGGCTAACACGGTGAAACCCCGTCTCTACTAAAAATACAAAAAAATTAGCTGGATGTGTTGGCATGCACCTGTAGTCCCAGCTACTCTGGAGGCTGAGACAGGAGCATCGCTTGAACCCAGGAGACAGAGGTTGCAGTGAGCCGAGATCACACCACTGCACTCCAGCCTGGGCAACAGAGCAAGACTCAGTCTCAATAATAATAATACTAAAATAAAATTAAATTAAATTAAGGAAATAAATAATTTAAATACCTCACTTGCTTCTGTGGAACAGGAATGCCAAAATTTCAGGTTTTTCTCTAATCATATTTCCTCCCCTCCAACTTAAATACCTAATGTGATAATGATGCTGAAAATGATTAGTTTTCAACTGCTTTTACATTATGTGTGATAGTTATCCAGATAAAGTAATATTCTTTACTCCTTTGCATTAGATAATATGATATGTTATATCAAAAGATGATTTTCAAATAAGAAGAAATATATGCTAGCAGAAGTTTAACTTATAGGCTCTATTGTGAAACGCGGTATATTAACTAAAATATTTTTTGTAATAATATAAACATATATGTCGTTCTATGATCAACACTGATATGCAGGTATGTTACTGTGTTTGAACAACTACAATGTAATATTTAGAACTGGATAAATTGTATTAAATATTAAAATTTGTTTAAATTATGTAGTAGACATTAGATTTGCTTACCAATATTTCTTGTACATGTGAGTATTGCAATTCCCCACTGCCCTACAATAAGTCATGGCCTTGGACTTTGCTTTGCCAACAAAATGTGACTTTAAGAGAGTATTAGTCCATTCTCACATTGCTATAAAAGACACGGGACTTGAGATTGGGTAATTTATAAAGAAAATAGGTTGAAATGCCTATAATCCCAGCATTTTGGGAGGCCGAGGCGGGCGGATCACGAGGTCAGGAGATCGAGACCATCCTGGCTAACACGATGAAACTCCGTCTCTACTAAAAATACCAAAAAAAAAAAAAAAAACCCAAAAAACAAAAAACAAAAACAATTAGCCAGACGTGGTGGCGGGCGCCTGTAGTCCCAGCTACTCAGGAGGCTGAGGCAGGAGAATGGGGTGAACCTGGGAGGCGGAGCTTGCAGTGAGCCAAGGTCGCACCGCTGTACCACTGCACTCCAGCCTGGGCAACAGAGCGGGACTCCGTCTCAAAAAAAAAAAAAAAAAAAAAAAAAAAAAAAAAAAAAAAAAAACAACAACAACAACAACAACAAAAAAAGAGGTTTAATTGGCTCATGGTTCCACAGGCTATAGAGGAAGCATGGTGCTGGCAACTGCTCAGCTTCTGAGGAGGCCTCAGGAACTTACAATCATGGTAGAAGGCAAAGCAAAGTGGGAGCAGGCTTATCACATGGCCAGAGCAAGAGCAAGAGAGTGAGGGGAAGGAGTTTCACACTTTTAAACAACCAGATCTCAGGAGAACTGACTACCATGGGGACGGTCCCATGGGAGATGGTACTAAACCATTAAGGAGAAATCCACCCAATGATCTAATCACTTCCCACCAGGCCCCACCTCTGACATTGGGGATTATTTTTCAATATGCGATTTGGGCAGGGACACACGACCAAACTCTATCAAAGAGCTTATGCACAACTCTCCCCTCTTTCTTTCCCTGTTGCCCAGACCCCTGTTGCCCTGAGGCCATGTGTTTATAATGAAGCAGTTACTGAATGCTTGACCCTCCCACCCAAGTTGCTGTATGAAGGACAGTTGCCTTGGAGAGGTGCTCACATCTATAGCAGACATTGTGTAAGATAAAAACAACACTTTTGTTGTACTGAGGATCTCATATTTGTATTTTGTTTATTATGGATTCATAATCCAGATTGGCAGTAACCTAGAAACAGTAATTTTCAAACTTTTGAAATTTTGGGGTATTTTATATACATATGGGAATATGTATACATATTTATAAAAGTTATAGCTTATTTTTTTGCAGTTTTTAAAAATTATACTTTAACTTCTGGGATACAATATGTAGAACGTACAGGCTTGTTACATAGGTATACAAGTGCAGTGGTGGTTTGCTGGACCCATCAACCCATCATCTACATTAGGTATTTCTCCTAATGCTATCGCTTCCCTAACCCCTCACCCCTCAACAGGCCCGGACAGGTGTGTGGTGTTCCCCTCCCTGTGTCCATGTGCTCTCATTGTTCAGCTCCCTCTTATGAGTAAGAAAATATGGTGCTTGGTTTTATGTTCCTGTGTTAGTTTGCTTAGAATGATGGTTTCCAGTTTCATTCATGTTCCTACAAAGGACATGAACTCATCCTTTTCTAGGGCTGCATAGTATTCCATGGTGTATATGTGCCACATTTCCTTTTTCCAGTCAATCATTGATGGGCATTTGGGTTGGTTCCAAGTCTTTGTTATTGTGAATGGTGCTACAATAAACATACGTATGCATGTGTTTTATAGTAGTAATGATTTACAGTCCTTTGGGTATGTACCCAGTAATGGGATTGCTGAGTCAAATAGTATTTCTGGTTCCAGATCCTTGAGGAATCACCACACTGTCGTACACAATGGTGAAACTAATTTACACTCCCACAACAGTGTAAAAGCATCCCTATTTCTCCACATCCTCTCCAGTATCTGTTGTTTCCTGACTTTTTAATGATCACCATTCTAACTGGCATGAGATGGTATCTCATCATGGTTTTGATTTGCATTTCTCTAATGATCAGTGATGATGAGCTTTTTTTCATGTTTCTTGGCTGCATAAATGTCTTCTTTTGACAAGCGTCTGTTCATACCCTTTACCCACATTTTGATGGGTTTTTTTTTTACCCACATTTTGATGGGGTTGTTTTTTTTCTTGTAAATTTGTTTAAGTTCCTTGTAGATTCTGGATGTTAGCCTTTTGTCAGATGGATAGATTGCAAAAATTTTCTCCCATTATGTAGGTTGCCTGTTCATTCTGATGATAGTTTCTTTTGTGGGGCAGAAGCTCTTTAGTTTAATTAGATCTCATTTGTCAATTTGGCTTTTGTTGCCATTGCTTTTGGTGTTTTAGTATTTTACTTATATATTTTTATATTATAAAACATAGTCAAAAGGTAAAAAATTAAAAATTAAAAAAGGATGAATTTTTAAAAATAAATTGGGCTCTAATACTTTTTCTACATTTCAATCTAATATCTTTGCTCCTCAAATACCTGCATTTTACTTTGGAGATCACTGATCCAGAAGTTAATGAGACCATGAAATTGATGTAGAGATAATTAAGAAAAAAAAATCACTATCAAATATAAAGAGACACTATAATTTTAGATTCTAATCATTAGGTCTCCTCTCTATAGGCAATGTGTCTGAGTGTGGCTGAGTATTGTTAGAGCCTTCCTTCCACACTAAATAAATCACAATCTCTGCAGAGGCTAGAAATCTCTGTATTTCAAAGGCCCCCACATGATTCTTACATGTCTTAACGTGGTAAAAATATATGTCTTAAAGTGTTCTGGAATAAGGTAGCCAGATGTACCTTTTCATGGCAAAATACCTGAAGGTGATAATATGTAGGCCATTGAGATTTCTGTGCACTGATTTCTATACTTGTTGGTAATGACTAATTTGAAGGTGAAGTTCAAAGACAGAATTCTATGGAACTCAATTTCCTCCTGGAAACTATCTCAACTAAAATATCATTTACAGAGGAAGCCAAAATTTGTCCAAAATGCAAGCTAATAGAAGTATTTTATGAAGTGACAGCATAACATAGCACTCTAGAAAGCTTGCATTATATAAATATTTACCCTATATTATGCTATTTGTATGTGTGTGCACATGCATGCATGTGTGTGTGTATAAAACCTAGAGTCACTATCAGAATGAATATATATATATATATGTATTCAAATGGTAATTGTCATTTAAAAAAGACTTAATACTGACTACCATTAACCGATTTCATATTTCAGTGTCTTGAAGAAATGACCTCACAAATGTTTTGACTATCATATTCTTTGTTTCCACACAGGGTTTAAATGGAATGAAATATCCACTGTTTTGTAACATGATTGTTCATCAGTTGGATGTTTCAGAGATGACACAAAGAAAAGTAGCCAAATTCGATGCAACGAAAATTTTCATCTCATATCATTTCAACTGCTCCCTGTCCTAATTAAATCATCCACATAGGTCGAGTCAGTGGTTTTCAAACACTAAGATCTCCTTTAGCAAACCACACAATGTAGATTAATAGATGGCTTCAAAAATCTATACTATTAATTATTATTTTTATAATTGTGATGTTAAGCTCAGGAGGTGCTTTTATATATATAATAAAATATTGACAATAATAAGAATAATAATTGCTGCTATTTTCAGAGTTCACTATCTCAATTGGCAAACAGGATGTGTTACATTACAGGAACTCAACAAATAAGCATAATGAATAACTCCTTCTAATGATGAGATGAGGCTGGAATAATAACAAACCAACAGCTCACTGAGTTAGCATGTAGAAGTATGCCTCTGTATAGGATTCAATGAAGAGGTTTGCTGTTACGAATGATGAAAAAATATAGAGAACCTTATATTCATGGATGCTATCTTATCCAGCTCCTCGTCATTCAGATTATTTTCATCTCTTAAAGCTTTGACAAGCAATTCATCCGTCAAGTAGGGATCAACTCTAAACAAACTTGTCGTGGGTAGTTTGTAAACTAGTTGTGGGGAGAAAGTGACTTCAAGGGCCTGAGATACATGCTGTTTGGTTGTTTGTTGTTTCTTTCCTTTTTAAATTCTGAAAACATCAAATTTTTTTCCTTTCACTTATTCAAAAAATCTGAAACAAAAATCTTGCCTTTGTTATCAACAGATGAGGTACATATCCCTGAGGAAGACCACAGCCTAAGAAAAGTTCATTTATTGTTCAACTTGTTTCTGTGTGTAATTGTGTGCCCTTCATGCCATTCTTTGACAGTTTTCTCCATTGTCAGTGACTAGTATAATATAGAGCACAGTGTAGACATGCACCAAAATAGTTCCTTTTGAAAGAATAAACGAATACTTACTTAAAAACATATTCTGGGTTGACTTAAATGCAAGTTCAGGCATTAATTATTACTTACTTTTCTATGTTCCCCCTAATGATTTGTGCTTTCTATTCTTCTAGAATGTGCTGTAATAACAGGTACTCTTTTATTTTATGTGTCCATGTCACAAACTTTGACCTCCTTGAGTGTACCGGTCATTACTTAATTGAGCATTATGTTCTCACACCTAGAACCATGTCTAGAATACAATAGGCGCTCAACAAACATTTGTGGACCTGAATTATGTAGATGTCATAGGAATCTCCATCCCTCAGCTGACATAGCTTAAGACTAACCTAGAAGAGCAGCAGGTGACTGAATCACTCAGAAGCAAAAAAGAATATGAATCAGAATGGCCCACTGACATTATGGAGCAGTGCGTGGCTACCAAAGAAGGACTGCCTGACTCACGACACAAAATTGGTGAAGGTAATGGAAAACTTCCTTTGGTTCTAGTAGTGATGACAATATAGGATAGAGAATCCTTGTAATCACATCTGCCACACTTAGGTGCTACAGAGCAAGGGGACATAACACAGATAGATGACAGCCAACAGAAAGTCAAAAGCTGATTCACACGTCTGTACAGAACTCAAAGCCTAAGTGTCAGAGCTGTAGGTAGCCTAGAGGGCTAAACTTGCGCGATGTCTAACGTGAGTGTTACCTAAATCAGCGTGCCATCTCTATGATCATAGCCCAATCTCACCTGATCCCATGGAGGAAATACTGGAGCCATGAAACAACCTCATAAGTCCTTGGGCATATGTTGAACCCATAACTGTGGGAAAGGGTTGAAGAGGACTCAGAGAAACTAGACCAAAGCCCATGTGGGTATTGGTATGTGCCACACAGCCAGAACAGCTGATTCTAAGCACTTGATAGAAGCTTAGAAAGTTTTGAGAAAGGCATTCCAAAACGTGAGGAGCCTCTGATGTGAGGACCTGCAGCAGGGACCCCACTTGCCTAGACCTAAGAGTGGTATTGATCTGAAACAAAATTTCCTGAGGTGCTCATTGAATATGCATAGTTCTTACTTCACTCTAAACATACTGAAACAAGACCTCTGTGGATCAATCATAAAATTTATGTTAACAAACTTGTCAGTTAATCTTAAGGACACTAACATTTTAGAGCCACTGATCTAATCTATAATATCTCTGACCCACTTGAGTAGATACAGATTGATACCCAGGCTCATTTGCCACTCAGAATCTCTGAGTACCAATGGTTGACCAATAGACCAGATGGAACCATTTTCTATCCCCCAAACCTTCTGTGCACTTTTATGTATTTACATCTTTGTTCACTGTATTCTTTCTGCTTGGATGATTTATTTTATTTTTTATGAGCATTGAAGTCTACCTCATTCTTAACGGCACACCCTCCGCAATGCCTGTTGATGTTTGTGTGTGTCTTTTGTATATTGTTTTTAGTTATTGCCTCCATACCTATATTTCCTTTCAGATTTGACCTCTTGAATGCAAGGAAGGCATGATTTATTTTGGAGCTCATTTTTTCACATTTGTAGGTGCTCAACTAATAGATTAAATATAATGACAAAGTTAAAGCTTACCTTTGTATTCTGCTTTCAGATAAATGTCTTGCCGAAAGAGTTCAGACATACTTTAGTAGAGTCATGTATTTCTAAAACCAAGCCATTCCTAGAATAGAGCTTAGACAGACAGGGTTTCTGCAGCCTACCCATTGAAATTAACATAATGAGTCCCGTTTTAGATCAGGGACCATCAACACTGCAGAATTATTTAGCTTAAGAAAAAGGCACATCTAGATGTCCAATTAATGCTACTGAATAAGGTGTGTTCTGATAGCAGGGATTGATCTAAAGCAGGAGGAAGTGGCTAATGTATGGATAATCCAAGTCTGGAGTAAGAAAATAGGCTTCTTTTTAGTTCTGAATGCTTTTGCCAGATGCATTTATTATACCATATAAATAAAGAGCAAGGCACAGAACTGACACTGTAATTTCTACTCACACAGCTTGTGAATATGAAAAGTCAGCTTTTACAGGAGAAACTTAGAGCTAAAGCTCTGATCAAACCTCACTTACAGAATTCTATATGTCACACAAAGAGAGAATTGAGCTGTTTTGAGCATTATAATTGGTCATAGAAAATTATTTTGGAAATCCTAAATCCCTAAGGAATCTGGGATGTGATGAAAAGCTACACTAAAAGAACACTAATGTGGTTGGCACACACTTAAGGAGTAGTGAGAAGACTAAGCTTGATTGAATTATGAGGTCTGTAAATCATGTAGTTTACAGTCAGGCATGAATTCAGTCAAATGGGTGAGTAGTGATTGAAATGTGTTCTTGTGATTAAAATCATATTTTTAAATTGAAAAAAAAATCCTTCAGGATTACCTCAACTGTATTCATCTATCAGAAGCAGAATATAAAGGCTTCACTAAAATAAGATTTCTTTTTCTCTGACCCCTGAAGGTTATTAGAACTCAAGACAAATTCAAAAGTTAAATGAAAAAAAAAATCTATGTGAGTTTAATAAAAGCTTAGCCGAGTAATTCTGATTTAAAGGCTCACATGTATTTTTATCGTAAGTTCATTATCCTTTTCAGTAAAAAATGTTACCCATAGTTTCTGAAAATTGAGCAGCTGGTTTCAGTTGATTGATGGGTATGTTTAATGAAAACAACGAACTGCAAATGAGCTAGCTTCTTGCAGTTGGTGCTATTTCATTCACTGTCTTATGCAAAGGTTCCATCTGTAACTATGTCAGTCACTGAAACTGTTACCCCTGCCAATTCAGCTCTGGAAGATATTAGACATTTCTGAAAGAATATCCTTTCACTTGTACTCTTTTCTACTAATATGTATTGACTATGTCTTATGTACAAAAAACCCTGTTAGTAAGTAAATGCCCCTTTCTCCGAAATGTTAACAGCTGGCAGAGATAGGCTCCTGCCATTTTAGTGCATTAAGTGACTCATCCATTGGCCAGTAAATTTGTATTGAACCCCTGCTCTCTCTGCAGGAGACAAGAGGTACATGGAACAATGTTTCTGCCCTCAGTGAGTTATGGTCAAATTGGGAGACAGATAATGAAGAAGTAAGCAGATTAATATGTTTTAATATGAAATATTTTACTTAAAAAGAATAAAAGTCAAGGAGACTTTGGGGTCTGATAGGAGAAGATAATTCTTCATAAGTTGTTCATGTAAGAACTCACTAAGGAGACAACATTTAAGCAGAATTTAATAAAGAGAGGGAGTGACCCTGTCCATATCTCAAGAAAGGAGGCAGGACATATTTTTTACACAAACAGTATAATGGTAACTCAAGTGTGATGAAACACCAATATAAATATTAAAATTCCATTAATGTAAACATTTTTATCGCATCTATGAGCATGATAACTAAAAGGGATGTTTGTATAACTCTGGTACACTTTTTTTCCCCCAAATTTTGATCAGTGTTGTAAAGTACACATAAAGTAAAATTTACCATCTTAACTGTTTTTAAGTCTATATTTCAGTAGTATTAAGTACTTTCATATTATTGTGTTAGCATCACCACAACCCATCTCCATAGCTCATTTATCTTCACAAATTGAAACTCTATACCCACTAAACTACTCTCCATTCTCCTCTCCCTGAGCCCTCACCAACCTCCATTCTACTTTCTGTCTCAATGAATTTGGCTACTCTAAATACCTTGTATAAATAAAATTAAAGAGTATTTTTGTGTGTGTGATTGGCTATTTCACTTAGCATAATGTCCTCAAGGTTTATCCATGATGCCGCCATGTCAGAATTTTCTTCCTTTTTAAGGCCTATTAATGTTCCACTATATAGAGATAAACAACGGATATATATACGTATATATATGTGTATATATATGTGTATATATGTATATATATGTGTATATATATGTATATATATGTGTGTATATATATATATGTGCTGTATACACACACACACACGCACATATATACACTATATTTTAAAAATTCAGGCCAGGTGCTGTGGCTCACGCCTGTAATCCCAGCACTTTGGGAGGCCAAGGTGGGTGGATCACGAAGTCAGGAGTTCGAGACCAGCCTGACCAAAGTGGTGAAACCCTGTCTCTACTAAAAATACAAAAATTAGCCTGGCATGGTGGTGCATGCCTGTAATCCCAGCTACTCTGGAGGATGAGGCAGGAGAATCTCTTGAACCCGAGAGGAAGAGGTTGCAGTGAGCCAAGATCATGCCACTGCACTCCAGCCTTGGTGACAGAAGGAGACTCCATCTCAAAAAAAGAAAAAAAAATGCATTTGTCTGTCAAAGGCCACTTGGGTTCTTCCATGTTTTGCCTATTGTTGATGAATGCTGCTGTAAACATGGGTGTGCAAACATATCTTCAAGGCCCTGCTTTTAATACTTTGGGCATATACCCAGAAGCAGAATTGCTGAATCGTATGTTAATTCTAGATTTGATTTTTTTATGAACTGTCATACAGCTTTCCATGACAGTTGCACCATTTTGCATTCTCCACCACAGTGTACCATGGTTCCAATTTCTCCACATCCTCCAAACAATAGTTATTTTCTTTTGTTGTTGTTGTTGTTGTTGTTGTTTGGTTGGTTGGTTTTTTTGAGACTAGCCAATTTATTGGACATGAGGTGATATCTCATGGTAATTTTGATTTGCATTTCCCTAATGATTGGTGTTGTTGAGCATCTTATGTCCCTATTTGTAGTTTGTATGTTGTCTTTTGATAAGTTACAACTCAAGTTCTTTGTTTGTTTTTACTTTTTTTTCTTTTTTTTTGTCGATGAATTTTACCAATATATTTAGAAATATAGTCTGGATATTAATTCCTTACCAGACATATGATTTGCAAATATTTTGTCCCATTCTGTAGGTTGCATTTTGACTTTGTTGATGGTGTCTTTTAATGCACAAAAATTTTTAAGTTTTCATGAAGTCGGATTTGTGTATATTTTTGTTGTTTTTGCCTGTGTCTTTGGTGTCATATCCAAACCATTGCCAAATCCAATGTCATGAAGCTTTTTCCTTACATTTTCTTATAGGTGTTTTATAGTTTTAGATCTTACATTTAGGTCTTCAACTCATTTTAGTTAATTATTGTATACAGTAGGAGGTAAGGGTCCAATTTCAGTCTTTTGCATGTGAATATTTAGTTTTCCCAGAATCTCTTGTTGAGAAGAAGGCCCTTTTCCTGTTGAATAATTTTGGCCCCGTTGTAAAAAGTCATTTGACCATATATGCATGGGTTTATATTTAGGCTTTTTATTTCATTCCATTGATCAATCAACCTGTCTTTGTGACAGAACTACATTGTTTCGACTACTGTAGCTTTGTAGTAAGTTTTGAAATCAGAGTATGAATTCTCCAGCTTTGTCCTTCTTTTTCAAGATTGTTTTGGCTATTGAAGTTCCCTTGAAATTTCATGTAAAAATTTTCAGAATTGTTTTTGTATCTACAAATACATCAGCGGGATTTTGAAAATATTGTACTGAATCTTTAGATCACTTCGGATAGTATTGACATTTTAAAGATATTAAATCTTCCAACACATGAAGATGAGATATTCTATTTATTTATGTCTTTTTAAATTTCTTTCAGCAATGTTTTGTTGTTTTCATTGTACAAGTCTTTAGTTTTTTGGCTAATTAGTATTTTATTTGTTTGATGCTATCATAAATAGAATTGTTTTCTTGATTCCTTTCAAATTGTTCATTGTTAGTGTGTAGAAATGGAACTGATTTTTGAGTGTTGGCTTCATATCCTGTAACTTTTCCAGATTTATTAGTTTTACCATTTTTTGGGAAGGAGTGAAATTTTCAGGATTTTCTATGTATAAGATCATAACATCTGCAAACAGAGATAATTTTACCCTTGCTTTTCAATTTGGATGACTTTTATTTCCTTTTCTTTAAATAATCTGGCTGGGATTCCAAGCAATATGTTAAGTAGAAGTTGTTAAAGTGGGCATCCTTGCTGTTTTCCTAATCCTAAAGAAAAAGCTCAAGTCTTTCACCATTTAGTTTTATGCCTGCTATAAGTTTTTTATATATGGCACCATATATATATATATATATATATATATATATATATATATGCATTTTTCTTTTATTTCTGGTTTGTTTAATATGTTATTTTAACCATAAAAGTGTGTTGAATTTTGTCAAATGTGTTTTCTGCATCAATGGAGATGGTTATGTGTTTTTTATTTCCTTCATTCTGCTAATGTGGTATGTTATATTGATCAATTTTCAAATACTGAAACATCCTTGCATCTCAAGAATAAATTCCATTTGGTCATGGTGTACAATCCTTTGAATATGCTGCTGAATTTAGTCTGACAGCATTTTGTTGAGGACATTTTAATCAATGTTCATAAGAGGTACTGGTCTGTAGTTTTCTCTAGTAGTGTATTTGTCTCATTTTGGAATCATGGCACTGCTGGCCTTATAGAATAGTTTACAGATTGTTCCCTACTTTTGAATTTCTTTGAAAAAGTTTGAGAATGATTGATTTTAGTTCTTCTTTAAATGTTTGGTAGAATTCACAAATGAAGCCAGATCCATTACTTTCCTTTTCCAGATATTTTTGATTACTGGAGTAATCTCCACGTTCTTTTTTTTTTTTTTTTTTAATTATACTTTCAGTTCTGGGACACGTGCAGAACGTGCAGGTTTGCTACATAAGTATACATGTGCCATGGTTGTCTGCTGCACCCATCAACCCATCATCTACATTTGGTAGTACACAGGAAAATACAAAATATTATAACAATGTAACTGTGAAGTGTATACTACTCTTAAGTAGAAAGACTATGATGACCAAACAAAAAAAATAACTACAACAACTTTTTAAGATGCAGACAATACAATAAAATATAAATAAAAACAACAAAATGTAACAAAAGCTGGGGATGACATTGAGGTATAGGGTTTTTTTAGTTGACTTTGCTTCTTTGTTTATGCAAGCAGTGTTAAGCTGTTATCAGCTCAAAAGAATGGGTTATAAGATAGCATTTGTAAGAATCATGTTAACATCAAATCAGAAAATCATGCAGTGGATACATAAGAAATAAAAAGCAAGAAATTAAATTATACCACCCTAGAAAGTCACTGTTCACTAATAGGAAGACAGGAAGGAAAGAAAGGAGAGGGGACCACAAACTAACCAGAAAACAAATAACAAAATGACAGAAGTAAGTCCTGACTCATGAATAGTAACACTGAATGTAAATGGACTAAACTCTCTGATTAAAAGACATAGAGGAGCTGAATGGTTAAAACCACAAGAACCAATGATCTGTTATCTACAAGAAAAACACTTCGTCTATACAGACACACATAGACTTAAAATAAAGGGATGGAAGAAGATATTCCATACCAGTGGAAACCACAAAAAAGCTGGAGCAGCTGTCCTTATGTTAGACAAAATAGGTTTCAAGACAAAAAGTATAAGAAAAAGATAAATAAGGTGATTATATAATAATAAAGGTCTCAAATTATCAAGAGAATATAACAGCTGTAATATATATGCACCCAACACTGAAGCACTGAGATATGTAAGGCAAATACTATTGGAGCTAAAGAGAGAGATAGACCCCAATGCAATAATAGCTGGAGACTTCATCATCCACTTTCAACATTGAACAAACCGTCCATATAGAAAATCAATAATGAAACATCATACTTAATCTGCGTTAGAGACCAAATGGATTAAACAGACATTTACAACACACTTCATCCAATGGCTGCTGAAGACAATTTTTTTTTCTCAGGACACAGGTCATTCTCAAGAATAGACCACATGTTAGGTCGCAAACAAATCTTAACACATTAAAAAATTGAAATATTATCAAGTATTTTCCCTAATCACAATGAAGTAAAACTAGAAATCAAGAACAAGAGGAACAAGAGGAATTTTGGAAATTATACAAATACATGGAAATTTTTAAATGTGCTCATGAATGACCAGGGAGTCAATGAAAAAATTAAAAAGAAAATCAAACAATTTCTTGAAACAAATGATGATGGAAACACAACATACCAAAACCTATGATGTACAGGAAGAGAAGTATTAAGAGAGAAGATTATAGCTATAAGTGCCTATGTGAGAAAAGAAGAAAAACTTCAAATAAACAACCTAATAATGCATCTGAAAGAAACAGAAAAGCAAGAGCAAATTTAACCCAAAGTTAGAAATAATGAAAATCGGAACAGAAATAAAATTAAAACGAAGAAAACAGTACAAAACTCAATAAAAAAGTTGATTGTTAGAAAAATTAAACAACAGTGATGAACCTTTAGCCAGACCAAGAAAAAATAGGTAAGACCCAAATAATTAAAATCAGAGATGATAAAGGAGATATTACAACTGATACTGCAGAAATTCAGGGGATCATTAGTTGCCATTATGAACCATTATATGCAATACATTGGAAAATCTAGAAGAAATGGGTAAATTCCTAAACACAGACAACCTACCACCATTGAAGCATGAAGAAATTCCAAATGTAAACAGAACAATAACAAGTAACAAGATCAATGTCATAATAAAAATTCTCTCAGCAAGAAAAGCCTTGGACCCCTTGGCTTCACTGCTGAATTTTACCAAACATTTAAGGAAGAACTAATACCAATATTACTCAAACTACTCTAAAAAACAGAGGATGAGGGAATACTTCCAAACTAATTCTACATGGTCTATATTACTCTGATACCAAAATGAGACAAAGACACATTGAGAAAAGAAAACTATAGGTCATTATCTCTGATAAATATTGACTCAAAAATTCTCAAGAAAATGCTGGAAAATTGAATGCAACAATACATTAAAAAGATTATACATCATGACCATGTGGGATTTACCCCAGGGATGCAAGTGGTTCAACATATGCAAATCTGTCAATGTGACACATTATATCAAAGGAATGAAGGGAAAAAACCACATGATCATTTCAATTGAAGCTAAAAAAACATTTTATAAAATTCAACATTTTTTCATGAGAAAAATTCTCAAAAAATTATGTATATGAGGAACATATCTCAACATAATAAAAGCCACATATGACAGACCAATAGCTAGTATTACACTGAATGGGGAAAAATGGAAAGTCTTTTTTCCAAGATCAAGAACACAATAAGGATTTCCACTTTCAATACTGTTATTCAACATAGCACTGTAAGTCCTAGCTGGAGCAATAAGACAGGAGGAAAAAAAATAAAGGGCTCCAAATTGGAATGGAAGAAGTCAAATTATCTTTGTTTGCAGATAATATAATCTTGTATGTGGAAACAATCTAAAGGATCCCCCAAGAAGCTATTAGAACTGATAACAAATTCTGTAAAGTTGCAATATACAAAGTCAACAATACAAAATTCACTAGCACTTCTACATGCCAACAGTGAACAATCCAAAAAAGAAACCAAGAATGTAATCCCATTTAAAATCGTAACAAATAAAACATCCAGGAGTAAACTTAACCAAAGAAGTGAAAGATCTCTACAACAAAAACTAAAAAATCATTGATGCAAGAAATTGAAGAGGACACAAAAAAATGGAAAGATGTTTTATGTTCATGGATTGGAAGAATCAAAATTGTTAAGATGTCCATACTACACAAAACAATCTACATATTTAATGCAATCCCTATCAAAATAACAGTGGTATTCTTCACAGAAAAGAAAAAAAAAATCCTAAAATTAATATGTACCACAAAAGGCCCAGAATAGCCAAACCTATCCTAAGCACAAAGAACAAAACTGGAAGAATCATGTTACCTGACTTTAAATTATACTATAAGGCTACAGTAAACAAAATGGTATGTTACTGGAATAAAACCAGATACCCATGTCCTTGGAACATAATGGAGAACCCAGAGATAATTTATATATCTACAGCGAACTAATTCTCAACAAAGGTGCCAATAACACACACTGGTGAAAGGAGAACCTCTTTAATAAATGGTGATGGGAAAACTGGATATCTATAGGCAAAACAATGATATTTGATCCCTATCTCTCACCACATACAAAAATCAAATCAAAAGTAGATTAAAGACCAAATCTAAGATCTGAACCTAAGAAACTACTGAAAGAAAACGCTGGGGAAACTCCAGGATATTGAAGTAGTCAATGATTTCTTGAGAAGTACCCCATAAGCACAGGCAACCAAAGCAAAAATAGACAAATAGGATCGCATCAAGTTAAGTAGCCTGGAACACAGGCATAGGAAAAGGTCCTCAATATCGTATATCACCAGAGAAATGGAAATCAAAACTAAAAATCAGATATCATCTCACCCCGGTTAAAATGGTTTTTATCCAAAATTCAGGCAATAACTAATGTGGGAAAGGATGTGGAGAACAAGGAACCCTCATGCACTGTTGATTGAAATGTAAATCAGTACAACCCCTATGGGAACAGTTTAGAGCTTCCTCAAAAATTAAAAATTGAGTTACCATACAGTCCAGCAATCCCACTCTTAGGTATATGTCCAAAAGAAAGAAAATCAGTAGATTTTCTTTATCTGAAGAGATAACTGCACTCCTATGTTTATTGCAGCACTATTCACAATAGCCAAGAATGGAAGCAAGTAAGTGTCCATCTTCATATGAATGAATAAAGAAAATATGGTACATATACACAATATATGGCACTATCCAGCTATAAAAAAATGAGATCCTGTCTTTTACAACAACATAGATGTAACTGGAGGTCATTATGTTAAGTGAAATAAGCCAGGCATGGAAAGACAAACTTTACATGTTTTCACTTATTAATTGAACTCATGGAGATAGAGAGTAGAAGGATGTTTACCAGATGCCAGGAAGGGTAATAGCATGGTCGGCGAGGGGTGGTGGTGGGGAGGAAATGGAGATAGTTAATATGTACAAAAAAAAAATTTAGAAAGAATGAATAAGACCTAGTATTTGCTAGCACCGCAGGGTAACTATAGTCAAAAGTAATTTAATTGTACATTTTAAAATAACTAAGAGTATAATTGGATTTTTCAAAACACAAAGGATAAATACTTGAGATGATGGATACCCCATTTACTCTGATGGGATTATTACACATTGCATGCCTGTATCAAAATATCTCATGTAACCCATAAATATATATACCTACTATGTATGTACAAAAATTAAAAATTAAAAAAATAAAATATCAGCATTAGCAGGAGTGTAGAAGAATTTAATCATAACCCTCTTGTTGACTTTTAGGCATTCAAGACCTCAGTGGAGGAAGCAGCTGCACATGTGGAAATAGCAAGAGAACTGGAATTAGAAATGGAGCCTGAGGATGTGGCTGATTTGCCACAATCTTGTGATTAAACTTTAAAGAATGAGTAGTTTCTTATAGATGAGCAAAGAAATTAGTTCGTTGAGATGAAATTTACTCCTGTTGAAGATATTCAGAACATTATTGAAATGACAATCAAGGATTTAAAATATCACATAAACTTAATTGGTGAAACAACAAGGTTTGAGAGGATTGACTCCTACTTTGAAAGAATTTGTACTCAGGGCGGAATGCAATCAAATAGTGTTTCCTGCTATGGAGAAATATTTTGTGAAAGGGAGCTTTAATTGATGTGGAAAATTTATTTAAATTTAATAAATGTAATTTATTTATTTATTTATTTAAAAGAAAATATAAATTTTAAGAAATTACTACAGCCACCCCAGCCTTAGGCAACCATGACTCTAATCAGTCATCAGTTATCAATAAGAAGTTAAGACCCTTCGCCAACAGGAAATATTAAATTTTGCTTTAAGATCTGATGATTATTAGTATTTTGAGCAATAAAGAATTTTTTAATTAAGGTATGTAGTTTTTATTAGAGATATACTACTGCACACTTGATAGGCTATAGTAATATAAACTTTTATATGCTCTGGAAAATGAAAGAATTCATGTGACTTGCTTTATTGCAATATTGACTTTATCATGGTGGTTTAGAACTGAACCCACAATATCTTAGGTGTGCCTGTGTATCAACCCATTGCCTTCTGGCCTCCAAAGTTTCTTATGTGTACTGGCAATCTTATTACCAATTCCTTGTATGTGGTAACACTCATCTCTTGTTACTTTCAAGATTCTTATTTTTGGCTTTTGACATTTTGATTGTAGTGTGTCTCAGTGTGGGTGTCTTTGACTTCATTTTACTTTGAGTTCATTGAGATTCTTTCATGTTTATATTTAAGTATTTTTTCAAATTTGGAATTTTTCAGCCTTTATTTCTTCAAATACCGTCTCTGCCCCTTTCTTTCTTTTCTCCTTCTGGGACTGCTGCTGTGCATAAGTTGGTTTGCTTGATGATGTCTCATGGATCTCTTAGGCTTTTTCCACTATTCTTCAGTCTTTTTTCTTTCTCTTCCTGAGACTCAATAATTTCAATGATCTTATCTTCAAGTTCACCAATTCTTCCGTCTGTTTAAATCTGCCTTTGTATCCATGTAGTGAATTTTTTATTTCAGTTACTGTGCTTTTAAGCTTTAGAATATTTTTTGTTTGATATTGACTTTTCTATCTTTTTAATGTATTTTTCATTTTGTTCATACATCATTTTCTTCACTTTCTCTGTATCTTTCTTCAGTTCTGTTAACAATTTTAAAAACACTTGTTTTACACTTTTTAGGTTTTCCTCAGTGACAGTCTCAGTTGGTTTGTTTTTTTCCTTCGACTACGTTATACTTTTCTGTTTTTTTGTATGCCTTGTGATTTTTTCTTTGTTGAAAACTGGATATTTGAGTCTAATAATGTGTAAATTCCCAGAAATCAGATTTTTCCCCTTTCTCAGCATTTGAGAAATTGTTGTTTAGTTTTTCTTTTTAAATTGATGTCAGCTGTCTTTGTGCTGAGAATGAGCCTAAGGTATAATCTTAAGGTCTTTGTAGGTCTTTTCTGATCCTGCACATTTCCACAGGCATGCATAGTGATTTTCCAATTTTTCCTGTGTATGTGATTGCTTTGGAATGTTCCGATACTTAATGTCTAGCCCCTGAAAAGAGGACAAGATAAGAATAAAGGGGGTTAAGAATCACTAGTCCTTTATATCCCTTAGAAACCACTTCAACTAGAGATTTGGGGGGCTTGCAACAATGGGGGGATGCAAAAATGATAGCTATCTGCCTCTGTATCTGTACCTCTGTAATCAAGCACAGCAATCAATAATTAGATCATACTTCCCCAATATTTGGGGGACAGCTTCTTATTGCCTACTCTTGTTTTTGCATGCTGCATGCAAGCTGTTCTAGGAACATGAGCATGGCTGCCTGCCGGGAGGCTAGGGTTCAGGGATGGGTAGCTGCTGTCAAAATAAGACCTGAAATTGACTGATATTATCTGTAATTTGTTAACCAGGACTTCCCCTGTAAATTATAAGCCTTCAGTGGAGTCTACAGTTTCAAAATAGTTACAACAAACAGATTCTGCTGGAGTAATTGTTATATGTGTGTGGTATGTGGTGATTTCTACTCCACCATCTTCCTATAATACTGTTTCTCTGGTGCTTTTAAGTTTGAATTTCTTCCCTCGCTCCCTAAAAGCTATGTAGATTATATAGGGAGTCATTATCTCTCCTTCCATTTTCAGAGTAGGAATGATAATTTAACAGTAAAAAGCATTCTCAATTGTTGTGTCCTGCTTACCATGATCCAAAAAATTGCAAAACCCTTCAATCTATAGACCATGCAGTTTGCAGGCAGTTTGAGTCCTGTAAGGAGCTCAAGGCCTATTTGCTTCCTATAGAAACTGTGTTAAAAAGACAAAGAAAAGTAAAATCCAGTGCTTCATTATAGTCTCTATATGATTTAATGATTGAATAAGTAAAAATAAATCAGAATCATATGCAGTGCATTCCACTGGAATTTCCTTGGGATTAACATTTAAGAGAGAAAAGCGTTTGGCGAAATTCACTTGTATTTTTTTCTGAATATAGTTATTGTTAAAATTTGAGGGTTAAAAAACAAACATAGTTGGCCTCACACATTCCTAACAATTATTTCGACATACTTTTAAGAACGTCCTCATGAAGATGTGGGCCAGATACATCCTTCTCCCTCTATGGTATTAATTTCTGTAACGGTCCTTGCTTAAGCCATTATTGTTGCTGAATCATCCATCTGATTCTGAAAAGTTTTTCATCCTTCTGTATTTCAATGGATAAACTCCTGAAGGTAGCAATTATAAGTTCTGCAAAGTTTTAAAGTTTAGTATGTGATTCCAAAGTCCCAGGATAGCTGCTTACCATGAATCAATAGTGATGACAAATTACTTTTATTAAATTTATCCTGGGAATCAGCTGTTTTAAAATGAAGCAAATAATCACTTCCAAAATATTTTATAGACTGTGTCCACATACTAAAGGAAATAGAGATTTGGTGCAATTTTCTGACAGTTTGGTTTTAAAATTTCACTTGCTTAATCATGCTGGATAAGTGAGCCAAAGTGTACTTCAGGCTTCACTTATTGTGGGAACATAATAATGAGTAAGCCTTTATTGACTACACTGTTAGAAAGTAGTTTTGATATAGCCCCTGGAAGAAAGTAATAATTAGAAAGAAATAGAAAGAAAGAAAGAAAGAAAGAAAGAAAGAAAGAAAGAAAGAAAGAAGAAAGAAAGAAAGAAAAAGTTCACATAATACTTTGTTTTCAAATGAAACAATTCTGATAAATCTAACATGATCCATTGCCAAATCCTATGTCGTAAACGTTCTATATTCTCAATGCAGAAACAATGCTAATAGTAATGGCCCTGAGTATTACCAGATTTTTGTTAACAACAAAATTTTCATTGTTATTTTTGCTTAGTAAAGCAGGAAATTTCTCCAGAGCTTTTTGGGAAATATATTTAACAAGAAAAAAATAAGAAAAAGAGAAAGATAATTTCCTAATTTTTTAAATGAGTAAGCTTTTCCCAATTGTTTTTGTACATGTGTCATTTTTATACTTAATATAAAATATATCTCATGCATATTTTTGAAAATGTGGCCATCATTGATGCTAATGTTATAAGAATGCAGGGTCTGAATGAAGAATGTTTGAAGAATATTGTGACTAAGGTCTTGGGATCTGGGTAAGCATAAAGCATAAAATAAGAGTATGTAACCCGTAAAAGACCTGCCAAGCAGTGTAGGTTAACATAAGAGAAGAAAAAGAAATAGAGTCAAAAAAAACATGGTGTAAAAAATGAGAGTAGTAAATAAAAATAAGTAAGTCTGTGCATGTATGAATGTTTAAAAAGAAGTTCCAAAGATCCTGACTCTTATCCACCACGTGAAGCAGTCAATTGAGAGGAGTTACCTCCAGCTTTAACTCAGAAGTTGTATTTGGAGCCCTGCCAAATATAATAGCTTAGAAAGATTGCCAAACCTACTGTGGATGGGACTGAAACAGAAAAGAGCTGTAAAGCCAGCTTATATTAAACCAAAATTATCAACACCAATGAAAGTAAATTCACTTCTTAGTGTTCCCAAAGAGTTTTGTTTCATGATTCTTCATAATTTAGATAACTACTTCATGACAAATGAATGGTTCACTGCTTGTATAATATTCCAATAATGATTGGGAAAGAAGGGTCACAGAGTAGATAGGACTGGCTCTAGACCTGAGAACTCACCAATTCAACAGGCTAAGTATTATGAAATCACAAGGGATGGTGATAAACCACCTATCTCTAGTTCTTCACAACCAGAAAACTGTAAGATACAAACCATAGCCAGATCTTTCTCTTCCTTCAGTTATTTATTTGCTCATATTCATTTCTTCATTCATGTAGTCATTCTGTAAATATGTATTGAGTATCTATTATATGCCAGACTTTGTGCCAGATGCTGAGAATAGAATGGCAAACAAAGAATTATGTATGTTTTACACATATAATTTCAAAAAGAGAGAGTGATAAAGAACAAATAAATAGATTAATTATAATTTTGATGAATGCTTTGGTGTTGGTAGTGGGGGTGGGCTGAGAGAGAGATAGAATAAATAAAAAGAATCTATTTTACACAGGTTGGTTATGGGATGGCATGTTCAATTTGGGATCTCTGAGACTATCAATTTAAATAAGTAACAATGAAAATAAGAAACTGGAAATATACAGTTTGGGTCACAAATAATGTTATATACTTTATGTTGTATTTTCTTTGAAAATATTTCAGCATTGGTTATGGAATGTAATTCTAATTCCACTTAAATGCATTTGTTTTGTTTATTCCACATCTGCATTCATGCAGTTGAATGTGTCTGGAAAAAAATGCATCACCAAAGTGAACAACCTTGAAATCATGACTAATAACAACAAATGGGCACCTAATACTGCAAATAAATAAAACTTCATTCCCTAATCCATCCATGTTCCTACTATCTTATATGTTGATTTCATACCCTTCCTTTTGTCTTCACCTCCAACCCTTCTTCTCCATCTCTACTTTCAACTGATGACATCCTTAAATCACTGAAAAAATTAAAGAAATTGTAATAGAATTTTCCTAAGGTCCAAGAGAAGCAGGAAATTTTTCCTGACCCTTTTGCAGGCGAGTACTGGGAGTGCACGGGTGCTAGAACTAGCCATCCACTTCTGTGCTGGGAGGGGAAGACTCCTCTTGTTGGGTCCTGCTGTGTTCCACCCCTTACAGGAAGGGGAGCACAGGTGAGAGGGTGCAGGAGCTGGGTCGAGTGCCTTTAAGTGCCTGTAGGAGCAAAATTCCCTGTGGTTCTCCTGCAGCATCTAACAGGGAGTACCCATGACCCACAAAGCCCCAGAGGGTGTGTGTTACAGTGCTTTTTTAGCTTTGCCAGCCACAGACAGCTTAAGTGTTAAACAACTCAGTGGGCCCTCTGCTTTTTTGCATGAGGTGGTTGCTCTTTGTCAGTGAGGATAGAGGGTCAGTGTGACAGCCTTTAGCATCTGTGCCCATGGCACCTGAGCTCTTGTTCACCATTGAGGAAAAATCAGGTCACACATATGAATTGAAGGGTGGTGAATACAGAGGATTTCACTGGCAATGAAAGTGGCTCTCAGCTGGAAGGGGAGCTGGAAAGGGGATGGAGTGGGAAGAGGATCTTCCCCCAGAGTCCAACTGTCCCCAGCTGGACTCCTCTACAAAGCAATGCCATCAAGCCACCCCTCTGAAGTTAAGCTGCTTCTCTCCCACATCAAACCATAGTCTCTGGCCTCCAGCTGCTTCTCCTCTTCTCCTCTCTCTCTGCCAGTGAAGCCTGAGGGTTTTAAGGGTAGAGGATGGGGGGCAGGCGTGCCATGGGTGCTTTTGGAAAAGGCAACATTTCAGCAGGAAAAGAGGAATGCCTGTTCTCACTTTGGGCCGTGGTTCCATGCTTGAGGGTGAGGCCCTCACCAGACTCGCCCTCTTCTGCCCAGAATTTTCCTGCCTCCTGTTCCTATCACAAGTATATCAATCCAGCTTCTCTGCCTCCAAGGGATGTTAGAAGTAATTGTTCACTGGTAAAATGATGGTGTTCAAGACAGGTGTTTAGAAAGGTGACACGGGCCTTCTTTTTCATATAGGAGTCAAATGCTAGAGCCCACTTGTTCCTGCAAAGCTATGATTCTTGGCAGATTAATTCCCCTAAACCAACCACAAGGCTGGTTGCTCCAGGTCTTCAGAATTGAGAGTCTTCTATCTCAGCATGATGGGGGACCAAGAGAGGAGTTTCTCCATACTACAAGTAGAAGCTGAATCACTTTATATATCTGAGTGCTTATAGGTTGCCTTAGTCCATTTGAACTACTATTACAAAATACCTTAAACTGGGTGGCATATAAATAGAAATTTACTTTCAGTCTTGTGGCTGGGAATTTCAAGATCAAGGTCTCAACTGATTCTATCTCTGGTGATGACACACTTTCTGATTTATAGAGGGTGCCTTCTCGTTGTGTTCTTATGTGATGGAATGGAAATAGGTTTCTCCTGGGCCTCTTTTATAAGGGTACTTATTTCATTAATAAGGGCAAAGCACTCATGAACAAATCAACTCCTAAGGACCCTAGCTCCTAATACCATCACCTTGGGGATTAAGATTTAAGCATATGACTTTTAGGGGGTCACAAACATTCAGACCATAGCATAGATTCTGGACAGCACATAGTTTAACATTTGGTTTCATTATAAAATCTCACCTGGGGTCCAGATTATGGATGGAAAACCATAAAGTCCCCACTTATTCTAATATCCAGAAGCTCTTTGCCTAAAGTGCCAGATAGTTGTAGAAATGCCGAATAGGTTGTTAATAGTTTACAAGTAGTAATATTTGCTTTTTTAAAATAATACTTGTTGCTCACACAGAACAGAAGTGTAGGAAAAAAGAAGGTCTTGTGGAAAAAGCAAAATGATTCAATATAATAAAAGCATTGGAGGAAACGGGTCTCAAAAACACAAGACCCTATTGAGCTTCAAGTGTGCAGCTTATGGAAAGGAGCCCTAACTGCTACTAGGATGCTATCCGGAGACCAATCAACTTGGAGAAAATACAGGACACGTTTCCTCTGTGTATCAGGTAGGTCACAAAATACTCTGCTTTTAGTTTCATAAAGAATTTCCAGTGAAACAACCTGTATTGTATTATTAAATTCTCTGGTTTCTCTTGTCCCCCAACATAACACACACACACACACACACACACACACACACACACGCCCTTCAGAACAAACAGGAATTGTGTTACAAGCCTATCTGGGTTTCACCCCATTAATATGCACAGATAGTCCTTACTTAACAGATCATTCCACATGAGACTGGTGCACGGATCTATATGAGAACATTTCTCAACCAGCCTAGAGATTTATAGGGTGACTTATGTCCCTGAAACCATATAGCTGGCCTCCTAGTTATATTTTGTTCTTTTCAGCTTCTGATTCTTCAAGAAGTTAGATTCACCTTGAGCTCAAGACTCCATCTCTACCAACATGCCTTGACAAGTCTGAGCTGGCTGGAGGTATAGGTTAGACAGGCTTTCTGAGGACTGATTATATGAAAGAACAGAGTAAGGAAGAGCTGGAGCGCTGGACAATCCAGCTGTGATCTAGGGGTGTTTCTGTGTTGAGAGTGTTTCCCTGTGAACAGATATCACATCCCTTTTAAAACAAAACCAAACCAAACAAAACAGCTTCAATTTCCGTAATAGAGTTCTTCCAGGTAATTTGGACAAAATAAGTATTTTTCTACAACTGTCAACTCAGTCTTTATTGTCTTTTCTGTGGAAAAGCACATTCTGTATAACACATCCCTTGTACTATTTGTAGGTCATGTTGTTTTTCATATTTGCCCAGCAAATCCACCTGCATTTAACGGGCAGTTCTGATGTTTGTTTAATCATGATGTCCCAATAAGGAAAACTAAAAACTCATAAAGAAAATAGCAAAGTGACAGAAAGTGAGGATAAAGGGATTCTTAGACTGACCTGTAATAACCCATGAAGGAGCATTTAACATGGTGCTGTCACTGATTTCCTAAGAATGCCTGGTACTCTTTCTTTCTCGACACTGACAAACCGGGGAGCTCTGGGTTCATGGGAGAGAGTTACTACCTGCATACTAAGTTTATTGCCTGTCTCTGGTGCCGTTTTTATCAGAGATGTTAGACAGAAAGAGTACTCTGTCTCTCTCTCCCTCTCATTGTGTTTATCTCTATTGTATTCCCACATGTGCTGTTAGTAGAGAAAATATAATTATTTATCACAGTAATTTCACTTCCAGCAAGTTCTAATTATAGCACTTTGGCAGAGTGAATACTGACAGAATTTTGTTGTTGTACATTCCATAGAAAGGGCTGTGTTCCTTTTGTTGCCTTAGCTATTGTAAAAATTTAAGAGGTGGGAGGATTGAAATCTCTCCCAATAAGGACAATGAGTGATTAGTTAAAACAAGGTCATACATTTCACTTTTTCTTGTTGCTCTATTTAACATAGCATCACATTGCATTCATCCCAGGTTTATGTATGATTATGCATTTTAAATAATAAATAAATTTGGAACATAATTCTTTATATGTTGAAGTTAAAGGTTAAATCAATTTAGTTTAAAACATAGAAATTTTTATGTCATGGATTAAATTAGTTGGGAAGAAAATCAACTTGACATTTTCCTGATGATGTTTAATTGTCTGCTTCCCATTACCACCTTTATTTTATAAAATCATTGTGTGTGCTACAGTAATTTCTGTTAAATTCTAGATATCACGGTTGAGGACTTCATTATTTGTTGAGATGAATATACCAAATCACATACCATACACAAGATTGGCTGATAAGAAAGCATCTCAAATACAAAATAATAATTAAAAGTAGATTGAGCTTGTATATGGAATATTCAATTTAAAACATGACCTATCTGAGCAAATTAGAATTTTTAAAGAGAAACATTACCTAAAATAACTACTGTTATTTTTCGGGGTTCCATATGTATTCTTATATGTTTCTTCCTAATTGCTTCTTGAAACTTAATTTTGTCTTTTATTGCAATCTTAGAGATAACCTGGACTGCTTTGGGAGGCAAGCAAAGAGTGATACTTTTTTTGTGTTTCAAAAGATTGTATTTTTTTTTTTTGGTGTCGAATGAATTCGAATAAATGAATAAAGTAGCCAAGCCTGGGCTTGATAGAGAAATCACAGCCCAGGAGTGAGAGAATTAAGATTTTAATGAACAAGAAATCTATTGATGGCCTTTTGGTAGAGAATTCAAGATACACAGCCATCAGAAGTTTTAGTCCCCTACTCTCACTAAGAGTTTTTTTGGTGGGGAACCAGCATTAATTAGACATTGGAACTCCTGAGAGATTTGGTGCTTCTTGATGCAAAAGCAATCAATATTTCTTTTTATTATAAAATTGTTAGATTATGATGTCACTTTTTTTCATGCTAGTTGTTTTCCTGATGTTTATCAACTTTCTTTTCTTTTCTTTTCCTTTCCTTTTCCTTTCTTTCTTTCTTTCTTCTTTCTTTCTTTCTTTCTATCTTTCTTTCTTTTCTTTCTTTCTTTCTTGTTTCTTTCTTTTTCTTTCTTTTTTTCCCCTCCCTCCCTTCCTTCCTTCCTTCCTTCCTTCCTTCCTTCCTTCCTTCCTTCTTCCTTCCTTCCTTCCTTCCTTCCTTCCTTCCTTCCTTCATTCCTTCCTCTCTCTCTCTTAAAGACAGGGCCTTGCTCTGTCACACTGGCTGCAGTGTAATGGCACAATCACAGCTCACAGCATCAGGCTCCTGGCTCAAGTGATCCTCTCACTTCAGCCTCCCAAGTAGCAGAGAATACAGGTGCGAACCACCATGCCCAGGCTTTTTTTTTTTTTTTTTTTTGGTAGAGATGGGGTCTCCCTGTGTTTTTCAGAGTGCCCTCAAATACCTGGGCTCAAGTGATCCTATGCCCCAACCACCCAAAGTGCTGAGATTACAGGTGTAAGCCACCATGCCTGACAACCTTTTCTATCTCCGTGAAACTAATCAATTGATGTTTTGTTGCAAACTGCAGTTTAACATATTCCATATTAATCTCTCAATTGAATGAAATTTTCTATTTCACATAAAAATCAAATATTTTACTTTCTTAATTTTATTCTGACTTTATTTATGAAAACAGTTCCTGTCATTTACATGTGGATTCGTTGGATATTTCTTAGCTCATTCAATGTGCAATTTTTAAAAATGTGTACTCCATGTTTAGGTATTCATAGACTAATAAAGAATATTAAAAAGTATGCACACATTATAAGAGAATACCATGATTTCTACAAATTATTTAAATTATTTTGCTTGTACAAAGAAGAATAAATCATATCTTATTTGTGACATACTGCTAGGAATCTCAGAAGACCTCAAATAAAAACAGATATTTTAATTATGTCTTGAAGCATGAGTAGCATTTCAATACATAAATAGAGAGGGAGATTGTGGGGAATGAAGACAAGTTAGATGGAAGTGTATTTCAGTCAGATCAAAGAATATGAGAAACTGTATGACAGTGGAAAACTAGGTCATGCGTGAAATATTGGAGCAGCCTAGTTTGGCTAGAGTTTTGAATATCTGCATCAGAATAGGCAAAGGCAACTTTGAAAGGTGCCAGATCATAGATCAGGCACTACACAGAGTTGCAATTGACTAAAGAGGTCATGAGAGGAATCTGAATGTTTCTGAGAGGATCAGTGTCACAATTGTGTGAGCAAAGGTGTGCTATTAGGGCACAGTCTGCAACATTTATGGAGTTTAAAGGTCAAGTTTTGCATTTGAAAACAGTCTTCTTGTTTTCTCCGGTGGCCGAGTTGCTCTACATAACCATTTTCTATAGGAACAGAGTTACCATTAGCCAAGAACATGAAATACTATCTCTCGCCTGTATATACACTTCCATTCATTGTGCTCCCGTTGTTTTTGCTCAGAACCTGCTCACTTACAATCCCCACCCCAGCACCAGCTCATCAAGTTCCTGACAGGACATCTATTCTACCAGGTTATTTCTTCCTTCTACTTCTCAATTCCTTTTCATTTAAAAATACTCATTGTTGTGACATAGTACTCTAATCCAGAAGAAGGATTAAGGGATTCATTTAATTTCATTATACTAGGTATTTCCAGTATCAAAAAGATGATTGTAAATAAAGCTCCAAAGTCATATGTGGAGGTAAACTAAAAACTAGGAATATGGTAATAGCCGTAAGTTAGATGAATCTCTCTCTCTCTCTCTGGGAAATTTCCATATTTTTTTTTACCACATATATATGATAAACACACACACACACACAGAGAGAGAGAGAGAATGCAGAGAAGAACATTGAATTATTTTCTCAGTATCACGAGGGATACATTTGTATAGGACATCACATTTGACTTGGATTACGAGAGATGCATAAAATTCTATCAAATGAATGAAAGGCAGGAGGTTGTTTCAGGTGGCGATGTTATCACATACCGAAAGGTTGGTTTGAGTAAGAGAATGTAAGGGCACGTAAGACATGTTTAGAGATGAGAAAGAGCTTAATTTGGCGGAAGTATAAGGTACATGTATAGGAATAACTGGAAATAATGGTTATAAATTTTGAAGCCAAAGGCTGAAATGGAAAAAAATCAGATATATTCAATGGGATATGAATAACCTTTGAAGATATTTTTATAGACAATTTTAAGATCATCACTTATCTTTATAATATTAATAATAGAGATATAAAAAGTAATTAAAAATAAGGCTACAACACTCTTCAGATAAAAAGTTTTGAAAATCTGAAATTGTAGGCAATAGGAATACAAAAGAACTAAGAAGTATAAAATTCCTCACAACATACTATGAGTTCACTTTTATCTGCTGTTATATGAGAAATATATTTAAGAGAGATCTAATGCATTTTGTATATTCCAAAAGGACGCTGGTAATTAGTACTTAAGAAACTAAGGTTATTGGCACAGCTATTTGCAAACCAAATGTACTTGATATTTTTAATGCCCAGTTAGTTTTTGTGTTATACCTTGAATGAACATTTGCTTTTTAATTGAGAAAGGACTAACATTTATGAGACACTTCTAGATGTTTTGTCTTCTCATATATTATTTCATTTGATATTTAAAATACCATAAAAAACATGCTATTGACTTATTTTCTAGATAAAGAAACAGGAACTCCAGGATGTAAAATGTATAGCCAAGCTAAAATAGCTGCCAGTTAGCCTAGATGAGATTTCAAACCATAAAAAATGCTGCTACCAGGAGGTTGATGACAGTATTGCTTGAGGCAAAGAAATAAATATCGAAACATGCACATTTATGTCTTCAGGAAAAATAAAGCATTATAAAAATAAAGTGTGAAGCCTCCTGGAATTAATTTCTGTGCCTATATTACGCACTAATATTCAAGTGTAAATATTGAAAATTGAATAAACTCAAATTAAGCATAAAGTTGCTATGACATGCTATCAAGGATTCAAATTATCTCCCCAATTTTTCATATATATGTAATTTTAACCCATTGTATAACTCTGTCTTCTCTCTGTGATTCTTTCCTGAGTAACTGGACAAAACTATTTGTCCTGTTTTGATAACATGAATGCCAAAAAAAAGTTATCTGTTGTCAGATAGATACTACAAAACCCCTTTGTGACACACCCATTGAAAATTTCTGCATTAATTTCAAAACTTTCAAAGTAAAATGTTGACTCCTTACCTCTTCATAGCTAACATAGAAAATGTATTATAATGAAATGAGAAAAAAAGAGAAAAATCTCTGGTGTCAGCATTGTTGCTATGTACAAGAAAAGAAAGAACATACTTGGTACTATGGATTGAAATACCTAAAGGCAGCACATTAATGCAAACCCAATTTCTGAGATAAGGAATGAACTCTTTGATTCTTTCCAAGAATGTGGTAGACTTTCAGCTTTCTTCACCTCAATATAATAAGAGTAAAGTGTCTACATTATTTGGCTGCTTCTGGAAGATGGTACAAAAAAGAGAATCCATAGTCTGGCCTTTTAAAAGGATGCTGTCTAGCTAATCATTTCAGTGCGCTCTTTGCAGAGAGCTAATATTGTTAACACCAAACTAAAAAGGAACTTGACAATTTACAGCTCACAATTAAAAGATTTATTAAATTATCAGGCTTTCAAGCATAATTTTAGTTCAGAGAATGCTAGTACCCCAAAGGAATGCAGAACAATTGCTTTAGGCAGGACACTCACAGCATGTACTACTCTGCAGAGTGAATCATAGTAGTATTCTGTGCACCTAAGGTTTACACACAGTGTTTTCTAATAAGGAGACTGAGCAAGAGGGAAGGAACTTGTGGTTGAGAAAGTAATACCTCCCTGTAGACAAACTCCAAATTATTATGCATTTTTGAAAGTGTGAAAAATTGATTTTTATTTTTCAAAGAGATTTGCTTCAGGGATTTGTTACTCAACCTAGCTGTACCTTCCAAGGTATGAGGATAGTGCTAATTTGGAAAAGGCAAGAATGTGTGTGACGGGAAAAAGCAGCTTTTTCTGCAATTGAATAAGCCTACCAATCAAACGAAATTCAAAATTTATCCAGAACCTTTACAAAAGAGATGCAGTCAAGAGCAGAGGTTGGCATATAAACCTTTAATCAGTGTTATTTAAGGAAATTTTGAAGAGTTTTATGCCAACCTACATCTACTGCCAAAACCTACATCAGGAATGTCTGTATCTCACTGGTATCCCTCTGTGGAAAAGTGGCAGCTCATCCATCTTACTTCTTGTCTTATACTATGGGGAAAATAAAAGATAAATGACTGGGATGACTAGACAGAGATTCATTCCTATGCTCAAAACATGTAATACTATAGCTATACAAAGTATAATTGGGGACTAGCATATAAAATTTTATGGATTAATACATAATCCATTTTCTACTTGAAATTGAAAACTTTTTCCTCTCAAAACCACATAATTTGCTTTCCTTGAAAATAATTTTAAGGACACATTCTAGGTCATACAGCCAGTCACCTATCTATACTCACGAAATAAAAAGGTAACAACAATATATGATGACTTAAGGGAACCAGCTGACATCTGCAGGATAAGCACAACTTCATTGCCCCTTTTGAATCACACTGAGTGTCATGAATTTCATTGATTTATTTAGACGGTGCCCCGCTCTGTCACCCAGGCTGGAGTGCAGTGGTACAATCACAGCTCACTGCAGCCTAGACCTCCCAGGCCTAAGCGGTCCTCCCACCTCAGCCCCACTTGAGTAGCTGGGACCAGAAGTCCAGGTAGGCATCACCAGGCCTGGCTAATTTTTCTATTTTTTTGTAGAGACAAGGTCTCACTTATGTTGAGGAGGCTGGTTTCGAACTCCTGGGCTGAAGTTATCCTGCCACTTTGGCCTCCCAAACTACTGGTATTATAGGCGTGAGCCACCACGCCCAGTTTTTTTTTTTTTTTTTTTTCCTTTGAGACAGGGTCTCCATTCTAATGGCAGCTTCTACCTCCTTGTCTCAAAGGATCTTCCTACCTCAATCTTCTGAGCATCTTGTATCACAGGTGAGCACTACCATGCCCAGCATATTTATTTATTTTTCCTTTTTGTAGAGATAAGGTCTCTCCATGTTGCCCAGACTGTGATAATTTTTTGGTTTGCTTCTTGAATTTTTAAAACTCCCACTTGACCCACTGCAATTATTAATTTGTATTATCACTAAGATATTATTCTCAAGATGATTTACTTAGGTAGAGTTGAAAGTTTCTCTGAGTATTTGTATTGAAAGTGGTAATTTTCCAAATAAAACTTAGTTTTCCACAAAATTATTATCTCTTGTGCTAAAGACAACATGAGGTATACGTACTATGGCTAACTAATTATGTTAACTAGACTATAGTATCAATCAAGGTTAATCATCCAGACCCAAGTCAATACATGTGCAGCATATTTTACAATTTCAGTTTGTATTTTCATTATATTGGCTGTTCCACAAAACCTGTTGAAAATGTTAATTGGTCTAAACTAAACAAGAGCTACAATAAGTGACCTTTATAGCAAAGTGAAAAGTAAACCAAAAATTTTCTGCTGATCTTAGATATCACAGTATTCACTCCTTATTCTTGAGTACATTCCAAGACTGTCAGTGGATAAAGATTCCTAGTGAAACTGCAGATAGGACCAAACCCTATATATACTGTGGTTTTCCCTACGCATACGAGCTATGATAAAGTTTAATGTATAAATTAGGTGCAGTAAGAGATTAACAATAAGCCAGAGACTGAATTCAAGAACCTTAGATATCAGCCTGGTGGTCTATTGTGACTGAAATGGCACTCAAACCGTGAGATGCAGTCCTTCCCACTCTTTCCTCCCTTTTCCACATGCAGAGGAGTCTCCCCCTGTGGCTAACACCACCAAAGGCCCATAGAGAGTACTGCCAGGCTACCAATGTCCCTTTACGATCCAAGGGCTCTTCAGTCAGCTTGTTGTGAATGCTGCTTGGCCTGAGACCCCCCCTTCAGGGAAGGGGCCTCCCATCTGGCCTAGGGAAGGTCCAGAAATGCCATTCTGGACCCACTGCCTGGAATCAAGGACTCCAAGAGCCCACTTGGTGCTTTTCCCTCCTGCAGCCAAGCTGGTATCTCAGATGCAAGACAAAGTCCCCTTTACTTTTTCCTCTGCTTCTGTCAAGCAGACGGAGTTTCCCATCACAGCCACCATGAATATGCTGGGTGTCACCTGAAGCCAGCACATCTCAGAGCCTCACTGAATCCCGTTGGCTTACTACCTAGGTATCACTGTTTATTATTCAGGGCCCAAGAGCTCTTTCAGCAGGTGATGGATCCTGACAGGATTGAGTCATTTCCTTCAAGGCAACAGGTTCCCTTCTGGCCCAGGGCATGCATAGATATGTCATCTGGTAGTTAGGCCTGGAATGGGAGCCTCATGACTCTGACTGTGCCTTATCCTACCGTGGCTTAGCTGATATCCAAGATGCAAGATAAAGTGCTCTTTACTCTTCCCTCTCCTCTCCTCAAGTGGAAGGAAGGGGTCTCTTTTGGAGCTGCAGTTTGCAGCTGTGCAGCGTTGCACAACCACTGCCTTAGCCACTCCGGGTGGTGTCTCAGTAGTCTGCATGCCCCCCGAATCCACCAGCTCCACACCTGGCTCAGCAATATGATTTGTCTAGGAGTTGCAGTCCTCGTAGCCTAGACTGCCTTTCAAATTTATTTAGGGCCTCAAAGTACTTTAGAGTACAGTGACAAGGCTTGCTGGAACTCAACTTCCAGCCACTGGGATGGGCAATTCCCCTCTGGATAGTGCTATTCTAAATGTGCCCTCCGTAGATTGATGTGAGCTTAGTTCCAACCTAGTTTTGCTTTCTGCTATGACAAGACAGCAATGAGATCAATGCAAAGACTCACAGTCACTGTGTTCTCCTCTCCTGAGTGCACAGATTTTCTCTGTGGCAAGGCACTTCTGTGGGTGAATGGGGAAGGGATGGCATCAGTAATTCAAGACTGTCTTTCCTACCTTCTTCAGTGCCTCTTTCAGATATGGAGTTAAAACAAGGTACTGTGAGTGCTCATTTGATTTTTGGTCCTCATGAAGGTGTTTTTGTGTAGGTAGATAGTTGTTAAATTAGGTGCTCCTGTGGGACAGATGACTACTGGAGCCTTTTATTTGGCCATCTTGCTTTGCCTCTCCAATTTTTTTTTTTTTTTGGAAAAGTTTTTTATTAAGTCAGATGTGTTATTTTCATTTACATTAAATGTATTGAGCTATATTGCTTATTTATTTCATTTTGGCTTTATTTCAGTCAACATTATGTTTTTAAAAATGTTTTCATGTTTCCATGAGTATATTTATGTCATTGATTCTACTAGCTTTATGAGATTCAATATAAATCCACCCTGTTTTACTTGCTGAATTCCACAGTGATTGTCATATAAGATGCCTTCATAGCTTCACTGCCACAAAAAATACTGCAAAAAATATTTTCTTAGAGGTTCACCTAGGGAGCTTTTCAAAAATATTTCTGGAATGTATAATCACAAATATTGTGTCAGAAAGCAAATCCTACTTATTTCTTTGCTTCACCAGAGTCCTTTCAATATTTATATTACCTATATATAAGTGCATTAAGGTTTTTGCTTTCTTACATCCTTACCAACCCTATTCAAATTTCATGCCTTTTACCAATCTGATGTGTGAGAAGTAGTATACTATTACTGTTTTAAGATTTTTGCACCTAACTAATGTTGCAGTTAAATATAATCACAAGCTCTTGACCACTTCTGGCACTAAGAGATTACAACTATTTCCTCTTTCTGTTTTTTTTTTTTTTTCTTTTTTTTCTTTTTTTTTGTTTTTTTTTTTGAGATGGAGTCTGGCTCTGTCCCCAGGCTGGAGTGCAGTGGCGCGATCTCGGCTCACTGCAACCTCTGCCTCCCGAGTTCAAGTGATTCTTCTGCCTCAGCCTCCCTAATAGCTGAGATTACAGGCTCCCACCACCACACCTGGCTAATTTTTCTATTTTTAGCAGAGAAGGGTTTCATCATGTTGGCCAGGCTGGTCTTGAACTCCTGACATCAGGTGATCCACCTGTCTCCCAAAGTGCTGGGATTACAGGTGTTAGCTACTGCACCTGGCCGAATTCCCCTTTCTTTATCTGGCTATGTGACTTACTATAACCAATAGATTGTGGCAGAAATGATACTATGCCAGTTTGTGCTTCTGCTTTTGCTCTCTGAGACCCCTGAACTGTATAACGAGGTGGTCTACATTGATAGAAAACATACCCAGATAAAGTGAGATGTGTGGCCCCATCTGTTCAAACCATCCCAGCTGAGGTTCCACATATGTAAGAGAAGCAAGCCTTGACGTTCCAATTCTAGAAAAGCTCAAAGATAAATGCAGCTGAATGAGTAATAAGCCAGTCATTATCCCCTGAGGCAAAGAAGAAATCACTTTTTTGTTTCAAGCCTCTCCATTTTGGGTTCTGTGTTATGTAGCATTACATAAGTGAAACATCTTATTAAAAGTGAGTTTAGTCATATCTTTGTCTACTTCTTAGGCATTCTAATTTTCTTTCCTGTGATGGATCTGTTCATAACCTGTAGCCCTTTATCCATAGCATTTTCTAATTTTTTTCATTTTGATTTTCAAGAGTTCCTTTTATGTTTTTACTGTTAATCTTTAGATGCTTTAGGTATTTTAAATATTGCTTTCTGGTCTATGAAGTAGCTGTTGATTTTGTCTATAGTGTCCTTCATTGAAACAAAAATACTTACTTTGATGGAATAAAACCCATTTTTTCTTATGATTTGTGAAATAAGAGGATTAGTAGGAAGAGATGAGAGCGAGAGGCTATTGCAATTCCTTATAACCTTTTGTAAAATGTACAATTTGTTAACATCTGTAACATTATTTAGATGAATATTTAAAACAAATAATAAAATTTAAATAGTAATCTTTGTTTGAAATGGTGAAACTGCACATTTAGGTAGTATTGACTTCATGTTTCAACCAAAAACTTTCCATTAGCTGAGACTGTTAGGTTGATGAGATACTTTCTAAGTTATAAAACATTCATAGTACATTGTTTGCAAACTAATTGGCTGCTTCATATTTTTATTATTTATTCAGATAAGATTTGATTAAAATGAAATTAGGAAGAGAGACATTTGCCTTCCTTTATTTTAAAGGAAGTTAATTTTTTCAAATATTTATATGAGAAACAAGTGATCGAATAAGTAAGATTTGGATAATACTTTATACAAGTGTTTATTTGTTATGACAAGGTTTGACTTGTAATAGTAATCACACGTATATAAACTTCACATAACATATTTTCATGAACTAATACTTTTATCATTCATGCTACGAAAAATGTTTTTAACAAAGTATTACTATAGACGCAGAACATATTAGTAAAATATGAGTCTATAGCTTATTCTTAAATATTTTCTTAGTATTTTTTATTGTTTTCCAGGACACTCATAGGAACATTCTTGGGTGAACAAGCCAACCCTACTTAATTCCAAACCAGGAAAGCTGACATTTTGGTGGTTATAAGATGTTTTATTGAGGCTCCAATCTTCCTTCTTCACCTTCTCCCTAATTTGGATGGCAGTAGGGTTACAAGAATGTTGTCTGGAAATGATGAGCTGATTTAATTTGGAAGATTTCTCTTTCCACCCAATCTGTTTGTGTAGGACATAGTACAAAACTTGTTGATGTAAGCTATTGGTTCAATGTGGGTTTCAGCCATGTTTATGTTCCAGAGACCTCACAGCAGCAACTAATGTCTCCTGACCACAAGATTTGATTATTGTGATTCCTAGACTTTAGATCCTCCCACGTAAATCTTCTTTTTCTTTGAAAATGGCTTCCAGGTTTATTGCATGCTTATTGCCCAATAATGAGCTTTAGGGATTTAGTGAATTTTTTAAAACATGGGATCTGAATTATATAAAATTTGTTAAGTATCAATTATAAGTAATAATGTGCTATAAAGAATAGGCAATTCCTTTGGAAAAATTCTGTTTAAAGTTATGAATTTATGGGTCAGAAAGGATGCCAAAAAGTCATTTGGACAAACACCCTGGCTTCAGCTGAACCATTCCAGACACATGTGTTTAATTGCATTGAAAGATAGCTTTGCTTGTATAACTGGTAGGCCAAATGCCTTATTATCCTAAGGATCCAAAATTTGAACAAATTTTTCAATTCTTAATTATAATAACTCAACTATCAGAAGCTTGAGTAAAGGAAATGTTCACTGGCTAGGGTACCCCAAAGGAATGACTCATGTTTTTAGCAGATCAATTTATTTATGTATCATCTATGTACCAAGTCCTTCCTTGTTAGATAGCTCCCCTTAGCAGATGGCTCCTGACCTTGAAGCTTCCTGAAGGAGCTCTCATGAGTTAATGCTCTCATTCCCTTGATGGGTTTGCCAGATCTATATTAAGAATATGGTCTACTGATGCACTCGGAATTGCCAGGTCCTGAGAAGCTAAAGCAGTGTTGGTTCTCATGGGACATTAACACTAGTCATTAAAAATAACTCAAGAAAGCCGTTGGTATTAGTTGTCTATTGCTATGTAACAAGCCACTCCAAATATTAATGACTAAAAATGACAATTATTTTTAATGTTCATATGTCTATAGGTCAGCTGCACAATAGTTTTGTTCTCAACTGTGCTCCCTCATATGTCATGTCTAGAGACAGTTAAGAGAGATGTAGATGGATTTTCTAGTCTATCACATATGTTTGAGATCATCTTGCCATAGAATAGTCCAGGATGGCTTTGACTGAGATAACTGGGCTGTGTTCCATATGGTTTCTTGTATTCTAGTAGCTAGTCCAGTCTTGTTCTTGTGGAGGTAGCAGGGTCCAAAGAGGAAACAAGAAAGATAGGGAAGGAATGCAAAACCTTTTAAGATTTAGGGCTATAATTAGAGCACCATGACTCCTGTAGCTTTCTCTTGGCTAAGGCAAGTCACAAGGCCAGTTCAGAGTCAGCTTAGGAGGGGACTATAAAGTTACAGGGCCGATAGCTGGGCTAAACGGAGGCCATTAATTTATGAATTGGGGCCAAGAATGCAATCAGTTAATCTATCACATTATCATATCAGCCTGGGCTTTCATTCTTCAGCACACTAGTCATCTGAAGCCTCAGAGAGAGAATAAAATACTACTTTTGTTTTATTTTATTATGTATAATGTGTTATTACGAATAAACATATTATTGGCATCCAATATTTTTACACAAATCCTGACACCATAGACAAAACAAGTTTGTAGGGGAAGTATATATATTTATATATAGTGTTTGTAAAGCAAATAAATCAATGAATTACATTTGGGATCAGAGCAGTGCTTTGGTGTCCTTCACTCTAGGAGAAAGGATGTGAACTCTAGAGTTAAATGAAACTGTGTTTGAATATTGACTTCATCCCTTACTAATATGTTGAATTTGTATGAATTATTTAACATCTCTGAGCTTCAGTGTTTTCAGTGGTAAAAATGAGAATTGCTCTGTTAATGTGAAAAGTATAAAAAGGTTACCTACATTTGTATTTGAAGCAGATCAGATACTTTGCCCATGCTTGTTTGTCTTCTTTCCTACTTCCCCTAACCTAGCCACCACACCTGCTTGCTTTCACCACCACATATTCAATAGTGTTATTTCTCCTCCCTTCACTGCTCCTACCAACTTACATGTTTCAGCATTTCTTTACAAGAGCACTATGGGCATTTTGGGTGGGAGGTTTTTATAATACACAAATTCCCTTACGCTTGAAGAATATTCAACATGCTCATCTCCATCCACAAGTATGAGACCTCACCCAAAGTATGTGTTGCATCTCCATCCACTAGTATGAGATCTCACCCAAAGTATGTGTTGCTTCTAAAATACCCCCAATTTTCCAAACATTTCTAGCAGTGGTGGGGAGGGGGATGCTAATAATTCTAGGTGGGAGTAGTATGCCTTATAATCTAAGTTCCACACTATCAATCAATTCATTAAAACTTCTATATCCTGCCTATAGGAGTTTTTAAAATCTCTATTACATCATACTGCAATTCAAATTTCTAGAAATGAGAGATAGAAAACAAATTGAAGAGGAAATATTTTCTACAGAGTAAAACCTAGGGAGTGCTGCCTTCATGTTCTGGCCAGAACTATGATTTGAAGCACACCTGTTTTATAAGATGCTTCCTGTATGTCTATTACTATCCACTCCTCCATTTGGATTAAGATGTACAAGACTCATGAAAAAATCTGAGCATATAACTTAGAACAAATGATAATATCCTTTTCTATATTTGCTTTTGTGCAAAATAATCTATCAAGTTAGTACTGTAACCTGGCATGGACCTAGAGGTCTATGTACAAGGATGACAAGAAGAGATTCAAAACCTTCAAAGCCTAGGACAATTTGGGAAAGGATAACCAGATAACAAGTGCATTAGGTATCCAGAGAATGTATAAGAGGAAGGCATCAAAAGACATCAAAAATAAACATTGATTGATTTAAAATTATGCCCAAGAGTACTGCTTTCTCTATTTCACAGAAAATAAATCAATAGCTTTTCTAGAGAGCCACCTGGATACTAAGGCAATCTTTTACACCTTTGATCACTAAGATTGATTATTGGCTATTTTGGAAGTGGGTGAAGCCTTCACCTTTCAATTCCTCATAAACTTGTGTCCCTCTTCTTCTCAAGTCTTCCATTTAGTGAACAATAGCCTTCCCAGAAAGAAAATAAGGAGGCTCTATTTTAGCCAGTTAGAAAGCCAAGTGTTTAGCCAAGTGAGTGGCAGAACTTAAAAGAATACATAGTAGCTTGAATAAACCTAGAACTGGTTATAATTTAAGGAAGAAATCAATTTTCATGGTAATTTTTAGTACATATCAGAAACCAAAAGCTACCTCTAGAGATACTTAAAGAGAAATTAGAATAAAAGGTTTTTCTAACATAGTTTAACAAAATAGATTTTATAGAATAGTTAATAAGTACATTTTCATATTTTGTGAGGGATGTTTATTATCTCAAAGACTTCACACTTTTGTTACAACTTAACACTAAGACCAAACTGATTTGAACAGTAGAAAGTCTTTGCTCAAATATCATTTCAACACAGTGTGATGTAAATACATGATTTTAAAGTGTACCCCACCTGCTTTATTACCCTGCCTTACATTTCTCTCCCATGTCATTCATGGCCACAGTCCAGTCAGCTAGAACAATATTTGTTAAATTTATTGCAGAATGAAGAGAGGGAAATATAGAAGGAAAAACTATTTGCCTGGAATCTGTAAAATCTGAGCAAAGATGTTTTGAATTCTTTGTGCTTGTCTAAATTAAGAACAAAATGAGAAGATAAATTTGTCGCCTTAAACATTGTGTTTTCAGTACCTTCCCTTCTCTTTCATCTCCTTAACTACTGAGTCTCCCTAACCCCCTTTGCCAGTTCCCATTAACATAAATGTGTCAGATGAGTATGAAATCTTCACTACATGAATTTTTTTTTCTGGTCTAATCCCTTGTTATTTGCCTTAGTCATATGGGCCTTATCCTATCAATGTTATAAATTCCACTAAAGATTATTAACTTGCCTTGAGTTACACTTTCATAAGAAACAAAATATGTATTGGTAAATTCAGCAAAAGAATTTCCCAGATATGATTAATTGCTTCCTTAATCCCCTTTATTGATAGCAAAATCCCCATTGCCACTCAGGGAAGGATGTCACTTTTCTTAGGTCCAAGGGTAATTTCTGATTTGCGTAAGGCAGTCATGGTGGCCTTACTCCCCTTACTTGCCATTGGTTTAACCTTAGAGATGTGACATAATACTGGCCAAGGAATATAGGAAGATGTCTTCTCAAATCTCCTGGAAAAGGTTTCTTTTTTTCTTTTTTTCCTTTTACTGGATAGAAAAATGACTGCGTATAATGTCTGAAATTGTAGCAACGATCTTCCCATTATGTCAAAAGCTAAGCTGTTATACTGAGGATTAAAGGTCCTTCATTATGTCTTTAGAATACTCCATTAGGCCCTACCTGAGGACTTTTTGTTTTAAGAGATAAGTATTTTTTATTGCTGAGTCAAAATTTTCTGTCACTTCTAGTTTAATGCTTCCTAACAAATAACCACCAATATTTTCTAATAGTAGAGTTTTTAAAACAACTTCTAATAACATACATTTTAACAGTGACATTCTAGCAAACTTTTTTTTCTTTTTAGTCTATGTTTCAGACTCCTTAGCAGAAAAAAGATTATGCAGTACTCTTCCTTTTCAACTATTTTCAACACACGCAATCTGGAAGACTGTCCACAGTTTTGTGGGACTAGTCTGATTCTGGGTTACAAAATTAAATAGTCTCTGTTCTATATTCTTGCTTGGATGTAGACAAGTTTTAAGAAAGAATAATTTTCTGGTTGGGTGCTGTGACTCATGCCTGTAATCCCAGCACTTTGGGAAGCCAAGGGGGTGTGGATCACTTGAGCTCAGGGGCTCGAGATCAGCCTGGCCAACATGGTGAAACCCTGTCTCTACTAAAAAATACTAAAAAATTAGCGAGGCATGGTAGAGGGAGCCCATATTCCCAGCTACTCAGGAGGCTGAGGCAGGAGACTCACTTGAACCCAGGAGGTGGAGGCTGCAGTGAGCCAAGGTTGTGCCACTGCACTCTAGCCTGGGCAACAGAGGGAGACTCCATCTCAAAATAATAACAATCATCATCATCATCATCATCATCATCATCAAAATAATTTTCTGGTTACTGGCAGCAACAAGAATACTGGACAAAAAAATAGCAACAAAATGCTTTTAAGATGCTAAACAATAGTTTAAAATGAACATTGTTAGGGTGTCACCTAAGGTTCTTATGTTACCTAGTAAATAGCTATCTTTCCATATTATTTAATTAAAAGCACAGTCATGAACTATATATTCTCCCTTTTAGAAGGTCACAATGCAGAATAAATAGGGATATATATCTGAATTTATATATGAAGCCAGGATGAAATAGTCCTCAAACATTTGAATCCAGGAAGGTAGGCCTTTGACAGAAAGGAGGATGTGATAGGCACAGGGAGAATGTGGCAGAGACTAAACCAGGGCTGCCATAAAGGGAAGAAAGGGAACTGGCCTTCACTTGCAATTTTCAGACTGAGGAGATTCTCTTAACATGTGAATTATTTGTGCTAAAAAATGAAAGGAAGGTATGAAAGATGGAATAGCATTTAGAGCGCTTTAAATTCTGCAACACTGACTCTTCGGTGTAAAAATACGAGACCAAACACAATCGAGTAGATCATATATTGTTTCTACATACTGCTGTGCTAGTGAATTCATTCCTGATCTGAATGGTAAGAGCAAATTCATGGGGAATGAATAATAGTGTGACATAGCTAATTAATGCCAGTTCAGTCCAAGCCTCTTAGACAATCATGCCAAATTGTACAGTGCGATGGGGTGTTTTTTATGTGACAGTGGTGTATGGGGTATAGATCTTTGAATGTAAAGATGGCATCAAACTGCAGGGCCAGAACTAACTGCTCAGCATTATGGTCGACACTGAATTATGGCTTTTTGATCTGGCAAAACTGCCACAAGACTTAACATTTCTGAAATACTATCACAAAATGGAATTCTGAAATAACTAGCTCATCAATCACTGACATTGCATGCTGCTTCTCAGAACATGAAGCACATATGCAAGTATTTTGAATGTTCTTAGTGGAAAGAATCCTTTTTAAATGCCTCATTTTATACAATCACATAAACCAGGTATAAACGGCCAGGTAAAAATATTCTATTTTATATCAAAAATTGAATGAAATATTTGAATATAAAGTGGATTAACAAGGGGATCCTTTTCGAGTAGTTGCTTAGGTAACATAGAGGAAAGACATCAATATTACACATTTATTAACTAATTCTGAGTAGTAGATTATTTTTCTACCTTGCCAATTTCAAGCTAAATTCATGTTTTATGGATCCTTGAGAAGATATGTTCTCTGTTTCTTGCATATAGAGTTTCTTATATTTCTTTTAAATCAACCATATTAATTATGTTATTCAGAGCATTATTTATTTTTGTATATTTGTTCTAAGAATTGATAGAAATGTTTTTTATATACAGTCATTGCTCAGTAACCATGGAAGATTGGTTTCAGGACCCCTCACAAATACCAAACCTAAGACCATACCCAAGACCCTTCTGTAAAATAGTGTGGTATTTGCATAGATTCTATGTACATCCTGTTGTATTCTTTAAATCATCTCTAGATTACTTATAATACACAAGTGAATACTTACTCATAATGTCATTAGTATAGATTCAAAGTGGTACTCAATGCAAGACAGACATGGTGGCTCATGCCTGTAATCCCAAAACCTTGGGAGGCTGAGGCAGGAGGATCACTTGAGGCTAGGAGTTTGAGACTAGTCTGGGCAACATAGTAAGATCCTGCCTCTACAAAAAAAAATTTTTTTAAACTAACCAGTGGTGGCGTTGCATGCCTGAGTCCTAGCTACTCTGGAGGCAGAGGGGGAGGATTGCTTGAGTCCAGGAGGTTGAGGCTGCAGTGAGCTATGGTCGTGCCACTGCACTCCAGCCTGGATGACAGAGCAAAACTATGTCTCAAAAAAAAAAAAAAAAAAAAAAAAAAAAAGGTAAAGAAAAAGAAAAGAAAAGAAAATTAAAAAAAAATTGACAAACAAACAAACTCTAGTACTCATTGCCTCAGTGCATGGCAAAGTCAAGTTTTGGTATTGGAAATTATTTGGAATATTTTTCCAAATATTTTTCACCTGGGGTTGGTTGAATTCACAAATTCGGAACTCATACATACAGTGCGCCCACTATATACAAAATATATATCTACTTTTGTATACAGTCATTCCCCATTACTCATGGGGAAACTGTTCCAAGACCATCAGTGTACTGTACCAAACCCTATATATACCTTTTTTCTTATACATACCTACTTATGATAGAATTTAATTTATAAATTAGACACATTAAGATATTAACAATGACTCATAAATAAAATAGAGAAATTGTGACAGTATATTGTAATAAAAGTTATGTCAATATATTTTCTCTCTGTCAAAATATCTTCTCATACTGTGTTCACTTAGTTTTGGATCACAGTTGACTATGGGTAACTGAAACCAAAGAAAGCGAAACTGCAGAAAAGGGAGGACTATTGTATCTGACTAATTTCTTTGAATTTCCAAGACCTTAAGAAATATTTAATATTGTGTAATTTGGGACATATTAATGATACTTACATGTCTTTCCCAAGCATTATCTCTCATCAAAGTACTTTTCTTTGCCTCAATTAAGAAAACATTTTTTTTCTTGAATGCCGCTTTGTCAGATTTTAACATTATCTCTTGTTTTATATTTGCATAAATATACAGATGTTAATGTTACTTGTGATCTTAATATTTTCTCCTGGTTTATATATGTATGCATTACATGTCTGCTATACATGTGCTTATTTCATTTAACATAATGATGTCCACTTCCCTCCACATTGCTACGAGTGTAAGGATTTCATTCTTTTATGGCTAAATAGTATTCCATTGTGTATATATACCACATTTTCTTTATCCATTCATCTATTGATGGATACATAGGCTGATTCCATATTTTTGTTCTTCTGAAAAAGTACTTCAATCAACATGGCAATGCATGTGTTCCTTTGATATATTGTGTTTTTTTCACTTTGGGTAAATACTGAATACTGGGATTGCTGGATTGTATGGTATTTCTAGTTTTAGTTTCTTCAGAAATCTTTGTATTGTTTTCCATATTGGTTACACTAATTTACATTTCTACCAACAGTGTACAAGAGTTTCCTTTTCTCTACATCCTTGCCAACATCTGGTGTGTTTTTTTTTTTTTTATCTTTTTGGTAATAGCCATCTTAACTGGGGTAAAATTATATCTCATTGTGATTTTGATTTGTGATGATTTATGATGTTGGACATTTCTTTCATATATCTCAGGAGGTATATGGCTTGCATTGAATATATAGATTGCTTTGGTTAATATGGTTATTTTAACAATATGAATTCTTCTTGTCTATGATCAAGGGATATCCTTCCATTTGTTTCCTCCTCAATTTCTTTCATCAGTATTTTGTAGTTTTTCTTGTAGAGATTTTTTACTTTCTTTCAGTTTTTAAAGGAACAACTTTTAACTTTTTCCCATTCAATATAATGATAGCTGTCAGTCCTTAAATATGGCCTTTATTATTTTGAGTTATATTACTTCCATGCCTAGTTTGTTGAGCATTTTTATCATCATGGAATGTTGAATTTTATCAAATGCTTTTTCCGTGTCTATTGAGATGACTATGATTTTTGTTCTTTGTTCTTTTAATGTGATATATCATATTTATTATCTGCATATGTTGTGTCATCTTTTTCTTGTGTTGTTGGATTCAGTTCGCTAGTGTTTCATTGAGGATTTTTATATCAGTGTTCATGAGGGATATTGGTCTGTGCTTTTCTTTTTCTTGTTGTGTACTTGTCTAGCTTTGGTGTCAGGGTAATGCTGGCCTGCCTTGTAGAATGAGTTAGGGAGAATTTTCTTCTCTTCAATTATTTGGAATGGTTTGAGGAAGATTGGTATTAGTTTTTACATATATGTTTGGTGGAATTCAGCTGAGAATTTATTCAGTCTTGGGTTTTTCTTTACTGGGGGATTTTTTATTACTGATTCAATCTCCCTACCCATTATTGGTCTATTCAGGTTTTCTACCTGATTTACTCTTTGTAGGTTGTATGTTTCCAGGACATTATCCATTTCCTCTAGGATTTCCAATTTCTTAGTGTATAGTTGTTCATAACAGTCTCTGATGATCTTTGTATTTCTGTGATATCAGTTGTAATGTCTCCTTTTTTATTTCTGCTTTTGTTTATTTGCATCTTCTCTCTTCTGGGTTAGTTTAGTGAGCAGTTTATCCATTTTGTTTATCTTTTTAAATAACTAACTTTTAATTTCATTCATCTTTTATTTTTTTTTTTTAGTCTCCATTTTGTTTAATTTTGGTCTGAGGTTTATTGTTTATTTTCTTCTGTAAATTTTGGTTTTATTGGTTTTTGTTTTTCTAGATCCTTGAGGTGTATTATTAGATTATTTATTTGAAAACTTTCTGTTTTTATAATGTAGGTGTTTATTGCTATAAAATTCCCTCTTGGTACTGCTTTTGCTGTGTCACACAGGTTTTGGTTTGTTGTGTTTCCAATTTCTTTTGGTTCAGAGCTTTTTAAAATTTCCATCTTAATTTCTTCATTGACCCAATGGTTGTTCAGATTCATGTTGTTTAATTTCCATCCATTTGCATAGTTTCTAGAGTTCCCATTGGTAGTGATTTCTAATTTTATTCCAGGCGATGTGAGAAGATGCTTGATACAATTTTAATTTTTTGAAATTTGCTGAGGCTTGTTTTGTGGCTTAACATATGATTTTTCTGGAGAATGTTCCATGTGCCAATGAGAAGAATGTGTATTCTGCAGTTGTTGGATAAAATGTTCTGTAAACATCTGTTAGGTTCATTGATCTAAAGTTCAGTTTAAATCCAATGTTTCTTGATTTTTCTGTCTGGATTATCTGTTTAATGCTAAGAGTGAGATGAGTCTCCTACTTTTATTGTATCAGAGCCTATTTCTCTCTTTAGATTTAATAATATTTGCTTTATGAATGTGGGTACTCCAGTATTGGAAGCATATATATTTAGGATTGTTAATCCTCTTGCTGGTTTGGTCCCTTTATTATTATTTAATACCTCTTTTGGATGTTTTTGGTTATTTTTTAACTTAAAGTCTGTTTTATCTGATATAAATGTAGCTACTTCTGTTCACTTTTCATTTTCATTTGTGTTGATTTTTTTCCATCCATTTGCTTTCAGTTTATATGTATCTTTACAAGTAAAATGCATTTCTTATTGACAAGATATATTTAGATCTTGTTCTTTGATTGATTTAACCAGCCTATGTCTTTAAATTGAGAATTTAATCTATTTATTTTATTTTATTTTTCTGAGACAAAGTCTTGCTTTGTCACCCAGGCTGGAGTGCAGTGATGCAATCTTGGCTCACTGCAACCTTCACCTCCTGGATTCAAACAATTCTCATGCCTCAGCCTCCCCAGTAGCTGGGACTACAAGCATGCTCCACCAAGCCCAACCAATTATTGTATTTTCAGTAGAGATGGGGTTTCACCATGTTGGCAAGGCTGGTGTCAAACTCCTGACCTCAGGTGATCCACCCGCCTCAGCCTTCCAAAATGTTGGGATTAGAGGCGTGAGCCACTGTGCCCTGCTTAATTTTATCTATTTTCATTCAAGGTTATGGATATCTGAGGTTTTGTCTCTATCATATTTTTAATTGTTTTCTGGTTGTTTTGTATGTACTTTTTTCCTTTCTTTTCCTCTTAATTATTATTGTACTTTGGTAGTTTTCTTTAGTGGTGCCATTTGAGTCCTTTCTCTTTCTTATTTGGATGTTTGCTTCACCCATGTGTTTTGTATTTTTGTGTGTTTTCATGAAGGTAAATGTCACTCACTTCCAGGGTTAAGACTCTCTTCAGCATTAATTATAGGTCCAGTTTAGTGGTGATGAATTCCTTGAGCATTTGCTTGTCTTAGAAAGACTTTATTTCTCCTTCATTTTTGCTGGACATAGTATCCTTGGATGGCAGTCTTTTATTTATTTATTTATTATTATTTTCTTTTTGAGATGGAGTCTTGCTCTGTTGCCCAGGCTGGAGTGCTGTGGCGCGATCTCCACCCACTGAAAGCTCCGCCTCCCGGGTTCACGCCATTCTCCTGCCTCAGCCTCCCGAGTAGCCAGGACTACAGGAGCCCACCACCAAGCCTGGCTAATTTTTTGCATTTTTAGTAGAGACGGGGTTTCACCGTGATAGCCAGGATGGTGTCGATCTCCTGATCTCGTGATCCGCCCTCCTCTGCCTCCCAAAGTGCTGGGATTACAGGCGTGAGCCATTGCGCCCGGCTGGCAGTTTTTTCTTACATCATTTTTAATACATTATAATGTTTTCTCCTGTTCTGTAAGGTATCTACTGAGAAATTTGCTTTTAGCATGACAGAAATTTCTTTATAGATCACTAAACACTTGTCTCTTGCTGTTTTTTGACTTTAGTCAAAAAAGTCTTCGACTTTAGAGAGTTGACGATAATGTGCCATGAAAACGTTTGTGTGTTATATTTATTTGGAGATCTCTAGGCTACCTGTATCTGGATGTTTAATTCTCTTCCTGTACTTGGGAAGTGCTCATGTGCCATCCCTGGTGGACCAGGCTGGGTGATTCCCAAGCTCCTGGATGGTATAACTAGGTACTGGGAAGCATGGAGCCTGGGGGGGCTGTTCCCTCAGCCCCCACCCCCACCCTCGCTCCCGCAGTGGGAAAAATACACTGGCTATGGTATGCAGCAGTGAGGTGAATTGCAAACCACTAGCAGAATGCTGAGGTGGAAGCAGCAATGGCTATGTTGTGACCTTGCTGTTGGGGAAGTCAGAGTTGCTTTCCTTGGGAGCAATTGTAGACAGCCAGCTGGGGATTTGAAGCTTTGCCTGTATCTTGGTCCACAGCAGTCTATAACCAAAGCAATTAGGGGGAGTGGAATTTGTCCTTTGGGTATATGAGACTGTGTGGCCACCCCTTGGCAAGAGGATGTATAAGGATAGTAAGAGGGTAAGAAGGATTGCTATCTTTGGCTGCTACCTTTCCCTGGTTGCAGGACAGACCAGAGTCCAGTGGGGTGTGGGCAGTGCTCTACAAAGGCATTGTTTTGCCACTGCCAAGGATTCCGGGAATTGTGGGACTCAGCATGAGCACCATCTTGGGAGCAATGCGACTTCCAAAGAAGTCCTTATATAAACCTCAGGGCCCATGAGCCACACTCTCCTGTGGCTAGGATTCTAAGAGTCAGTGGTTGGAATGTGGACTTCTGGGGCCTCTCTCTTACCCTTTCCCTGTATTGGGGAATCTCTGTCAGCCAGTATCAGATAAGCATGCTAGCTGCCTTCTTCCCTTTACTTGCTTTAGGTGTTTCCTATCATTTCTCTGTTGAATTCCAGTGTTTTCTCTTGGACAATGTATTTGAAGTGAAATTATCTACTCACAATTTTGGATTTTACCTTGGAAAAGGTAAAAGATGTCTCTAATGAGCCATCTTGAAGCCCCTCTGGTAATAATATTTTTAATCAAATTACTTTACTTTAAACATGCCACTTCTATACAATTTTTTTGAATTTTTTTTTATTATTATTATTATACTTTAAATTCTAGGGTACATGTGCACAACGTGTAGGTTTGTTACATATGTATACATGTGCCATGTTGGTGTGCTGCACCCATTAACTCGTCATTTACATTAGGTATATCTCCTAATGTTTTCCCTCCCCCATCCCCTCACCCCACGACAGGCCCTGGTGTGTGATGTTCCCCTTCCTGTGTCCAAGTGTTCTCATTGTTCAATTCCCACCTATGAGTGAGAACATGCAGTGTTTGGTTTTTTGTCCTTGCGATAGTTTGCTGAGAATGATGGTTTCCAGCTTCATCCATGTCCCTCCAAAGGACATGAACTCATCCTTTACAACTTTTTTTTTTAAAGACATACTTTTCCTTGTAACTGGTGAGTTTATTCTATTTCTATAGTTCTATTTTTTTTAGTTTCAATAGTTGTCATATCAGGGTTTCATTGTTTCAGTTAGTATCTTAGTTGTATAAATTATACAAAGATTTGCTTACAGGTAAGCAAGTCTCTCAAATTGCAGACAATCTGATAATGTCTTTTTGTTTCTTTTACATATTAAGGGTGACTTGGCTAGGAATGGAATTTGAATGTATTCTTCTTTTCCCTAGAAACATGGCGGACTTGACTCCAATCCACAATGACTGCCTTTAAGAAGTCTGAGGCCCTCTTGATTTTTTTCTTTATAGGTGACTTGCTTCTTTTGTTTGCATGCCTTTATCATTATTGTGGTTTTTTTATCCCTATAATTCAATAATTCGACAGGATAAGTTCTAGTTTCGAATGTCCTCTATTAAATTAATTTTCTGGGAATAAAATGAAGTTTGTCAATGTGTAGATTCAGGTATTTTCTCATTTCAAGAACGTATATTTAATTTCTTTTTTTTTCTATTTGTTCTGCTTTCTGCGTCAAGGAGTCTCCAATTTTCCGTATGTTTCTATTCCCAAAATCTAGCATTTATTTCACTACCCCTTTTTTCTCTAGCTTTGTCTTTCCTCTCTTCAGTCTCTGATAGTCTCAAGACAGATATCTTATCATTAGAAATGATTTTCCAATTCCTCCTTCCTGTTTCTAATATACCTACTATCACTGATGGCACCATTCTCCTCACTTTGTTTTCTAACTACTACTAGCTCTCCTACAACCTCATCAATTTTCTGATTATCTCGTCATCGATCTCTTTTTCATAGATTTCATGGTCTACTTGGTTGAGTACTTGATGCACTTGTCTACTTAATTTATTTAAGCACTTGGTGAATTTCTTCTTTAAGCTTTCTTCTTGTTTCTATTTACTTGGATTGTATTCCCCATGTATCTCTTGATTACTGCATTCATTCTTTGATTGTTACTCCCTAAAATAGCTGTACAGAACCCATGTGAATTCTCTTTTCTCTTCCCCCTCTGGCTGGAGACAATTTTACTTAAAGGTGGTTTTCAGAAACAGAGTGAATAGATTCTTTGTGTGTCTCTGTATTTACCTGGATAACCAAATGTGGGGAGTTTGTATTATTATTATTATTTTTTTACATTTCAGATACCTGAATGGTGTGGAGTAGGAGTTTCAACTATTTCAAAGAAACTTTTCTTTGTTTCTTTTTCAGTCTTTTTGTTATCAGGGATACTCTTCATTCAGTTCTATCCTATCCCATAAAGGGGCCCTCAAATTTCAATGTGTGCATTTAATGCAGGAACAGCCTGACCAGGTTTTGGTAAAAGGCCTTTGGCCTTCAGTTTTTGCTTTCTTTTCCATTTTTCCTTTATTTAATATAGACTGGAATTGTTCTTTCTTTAATTATTCTCCTCCTCTTTTTCTTCTTCTTTCTCTTCTCATCAAGTAAATATTTCTGCCAAAGAAAATTGACCTGAGAAGATTATCGCTGAGGTCCTTGAAACCCAGGCATTAATTTGACTATGTCTTCCTGCCCCGCTTGCTTTTGGTGCTTGATTTTTGTTTTTGTTTCCTTTTTCCAAAAAAAAGGTGAGGCTATTGTAGCTGAAGGCTACAACTTGGCTGCTGAATGCTGAAACTTAACTTTCACTATCTATTTTATAGATAGCATTCATAGGTCATCGTGGTAATGGTCATTTCAGTTGCTTTTCAGGAACACGGGCCAACTCCTGTCCAGTTCAAAGCAGTTGAGATCACTGACCCTTCACTGGGCCTGTGCAAGTGCCCTAGAGGTAGTTTTCGATATTAGAGGGCCAAAAACTCCACCCTCAGATCATGCTAATGCAACCATTTTCTGCATATATAAGTCCTATGAAATGCCATGAACCCCAACTACAGTTGCCCAAAATAAGTCTGTTACTTCATTTTTCCCCACTGCCAGTCACCTCTCCCTATGCCTTAGACCAGCGCATTTCCCTAACCCATAAATATCCCTAAGCCTTATCTTCAGGGAGGTGGATTTGAGAGCTGTTCTCCCACCTCCATGGTTGGTGCCCTTGTAAATGAATCTTTTCTCTTTTGCAAAACCAGTGTGATTGTGATTGATTTACTGAGCATGGACAAAATAAACCTGAACCTGGCTGGCAACATCCTATCTACAAACAACAGGAAGATGTTGGCCAGAAGAAAAAATCAACAATAATAAAAATAGAGTAGATTTAAGTTTATTCTCTAATGTTTAGAAAATATCAACAAGGTTTTTCATAACTATGTTAGTTTTGGGAAAGGGACATCTCCAAGTGTCTGTTAGGAACTATATTCAGCATATATAGCATCATGTTTAAAAATGACAGTTTCACCCCATACTACTCAGTTCAAATCCTACACCTACTATTATGTCCTCTGTTTGAAACAGGCAAGATATTTAACATCATATCTTACCTTTGTGTATAAAACTCTGTGCAATCATTGTGCCCTATCTCCTAGGGTTTTTGTTAGGCCAGGGTTCTCAGGAAGCTTAAATTTGCTGGATCAAGTAACTTGGTAATTAATATCTGTAAAGTACTTGGCAATAAGCACTCAAAAATTATATTTTTATTTGTAATGTCTGTTTATATACTTAATAGAGGGCTGCAGAATAACTCTCAAGTGACACTTCTAAAATACTCCATATCTACATGCGTATTTAGTGTGTTATATCACATCATTAAAACTGCAAATGATATTCCATTTAAATTTGAAAAGATATAACAGAACAGGAAATAATGAAACTTTCCAGAGAAAAGTAGTGGTGTCTTATTGCGTACAATCTATAATGATTGAATTTCTTCAAGTTATTGTTATCCAAGCTGTGACTACCCAGGTGCATCTAAAATAATGTTCATTTTTCTGCTTTGTATTCAGCACCTGCTAAGGTGTATCCATTTTCCTGAATAGCATTTAATGAATTAAAACTGTACATGAATACAGTGCTATTTCTACCATATAATTCTGCTTTCAGTGTATTTGAAATGACTGTGTTATCATTTATATTCATTTTGTTTTTGGATGATTGTGATAATGACACCATTGTTTAAGATGTGGTTTTTAAAAATTGTTCCTTGGATGCATAATTACTATTTTTTAACATCAGTTTTTCATGGAGATAAAATATAACATAGATATTTTCCTGTGCCAGAATTGATTTTTACAAATATATTTTGCCTAAAGACCAATCAGCTTTGCTGATATTTTACTTTGTACCTCTTCAGTGGGAAATTTGTTTAGCAAAACTGCCATGATCAAGCATGTTATAAAGATTTCAATTTAGTAAATGAAATGCAAAAAAAAAAGAGTTACAATCTTTTAACAGAAGTGCCAAGTGTCTTATAGTCTTTCTTAGGAAATTTGGTCTTTCTGGGTAGGTGTTTATCACCAAGCTCATTTGTTAGTGATCGTGGTTGGAATGTCGTCTCTTAATTATGCAGCCCAATATATAGAGATTCTTGTTACACTTTTAAAACATTATGTGGATAAATTATGATCATTCCAAGTGCACTGTACTCATATGTAGAAAGGCAGAACATCAACTTCTGCATTATTTTATAAATCAATAATTTAATCATATGTAAAAACATATCATTACCCACCTCACTGTTTAATTCCCCCTTGAGACTGCTATTTAAACTACAAGAACTTCTCAGAATTTTATTTTTGATTTGCTTCTCAAATATCATCTTGCTACATTTGATATCAAATTGGTTTAAATGATATGCAAGTGTTTCAGTTTTAACTGTATGTGTATGAAACTTACGAAGCAATTTTCTGAAACCTTAATTCTCAACCTGATAAAGCTCTTGTTTTATGTTTTCTAGTCAGGACTTACTTTTAAGTTATCTTCTAGTAAAAATAATACTGGTTCAAGAATACTTTTATCTTTTAAAAATCTCAGATAAGTCATTTTTATAACCACTTACTGTTAAACCAGTCACCTTAGATTCTCTAAGAACCTATTTTTACAACTATGTAATATGTCAAAGCCAAAAGTTATAAAAATAGCATATATAATAATTCCCTGTATTAGCATAAATATGTTATAATTTAGAATGTAAGTGCATTCTATTATTTAAATAGTCAGTTTGGGATTAAAATTAAGTATAATGGAGACTAGAAACAGAATAATTTGTTTTCATTCCTATAAGCCTGCAACCTATATGTCATTAAACACATGCCCACTCAAAATTCACTCACATATATAAACATAAAAATACAATTATAAATGTGTAGAAACATTATAAGAAAAGTAATACTACATCTGCTTCTTAATTTTTTATTGGATAATGGCATTTTCTGGTTGAATAAATATTAAGTTCTAAGCTTTCTGGTGTAATATATTTTAAAACTCTTAAGTGTTGCCACCATTCTAATATAATGACACTTTCAAAAAAATCAAAGGAAAATTCTGATACATGCTCGGGTTTTTCTTACACTTCTGAGATGCTGATTTGAACACCAATTTCAAAGAAGACCTTAGGTTCAGTTTAAATAGCTGAAAGAGAAACTGACCCTTCCTGAAATGACCCTCAACATAATAACTTATATCTTTGCAGGATACTATCTACAATTTTTATATAAGGACATAGAATAAGCAACAAAAATAATACTAACTCACTTTATGAATATGGACATACAAAAAATTTTCAAAAGCTTGCCAGAGCTAAGAAAAAAGCAATTCGCCATTTTTATCCCTGTTCCCTTTTCCACAATGTTCTATGTTTAATTATTTCCTTTGTGTTTTAGTTAAGAGTATTTTAATGAAGTCTGTTTTAGTTAATTGCTTGTGCATTAATCTCCCCCACTACGTTGTGAACAAGTTGAGAATAGGGAATCTAATTCGTATTTGAATTATCTCACACAGAGCTTTGCAACTATTACAGGTTCAAACCAAGTAGGCAATGAATTAAGGCAAATATTAAAAGTCTCTTCTTTGTTACTTGTTATTTTGCCATTTCAGGCAGTGTCCTCTTTTCTTATAGTGGGTTATGGACAGTCATGGACAGGATGGGCCTCCATTTGTAAAATAGTTTGGGCAGGTAGACAAGTCGACTTGTTGCTGGATCAAGCTTGCGCACCTGCCCTTTGATTTCAACCTGGAAAACAGGAAAAAAAAATAAAAAGATTTCTTACGATATTCTGGCCATTTGCTCTTTAGAGTCTGAATGGATCTTAAGACAAGATGTTAATTTGGTTGGCATATTAAATAATTCTCCTTTTATTGGCCTTGGTATATGCTTGAGATAATACTTTTTGTTGCTCAAAAAAAGATAAAATTGTGTGGTCCAAGTTTTGTTTCCAACTACCTAGGTAATTTTCACTCAAGTGAAAAAATTAAATTTTGTATAAAGTGCAAATTTTCTGCATTTTTTGGAAAATTTGTGCTCAGTATTTGGTCTGAGTATTTAGTTGCTACTGAAAATGTGAATTTTTAAGCTAAAAATAACTGCCGCTCTCCTGGACTTCTTGCAGTGCCTTTCTGACTCCAGGACTTCTGCTGAAATTACTTGGATAATTCCATACATAGGAAACCTGCTATGGGTCTTAATGATTTCTATTGTAGAATTGTATAAGTTCATGATTTTCCTGGACATGTCCCAAAATGGATGAACTAAGTGACCATTTTTTTTAAACAATATAAAGAGTACTAATTCAATTCGACTGTCACAACTGAAAATTGTGTGTGCCATGAAGAGTTTTATTGTGTAGATCTCACTAAGTCTAGTCATTCCATTATCTTCTTTTCTACTGACTTTTGAGCATGACTTTTATATAATGTCCCACTCTACCCACTTGGTATGTGGCAGCAACATTGGTAAAACATTATTTTTCCCTGCTGGAGTTCATCCTCTAACTTCTTTGCATTTCAGAGAACTGTCACTGCATTTTGACTTTTAGTTTGGGGGTTAAAAATGCAGCAGGAAAGGAGAGATAACAAGACCTGCCCTACATTTTCAGGTGAATAAACCAACATGAGAAGATAGTGCCATGCAAACTTGGTTGAAAGTGTTGTCTCCTGGCAATATAGATATAAATGTTGAACTTGTATAACATCTGACTTCAAATAACTAGAAGATTTGCTTGATAACTTTTTTAAAGGATGATGCCATGCTAGTAAAATCAGTTTTCATCTTCAGACTTAATGTTTATGTTTTTCCTTACTAAGGTGTCAAAGTTCAAGACATCTCTTTTAGCTATTTCAATTCTATTTTCATTACGGTCCCTATTCTCATCCCTTCTTCCAGATATTTTAGGTTTGCCTTTTCCCTTGAGGCAAAACTGCAAGGAGTAGCCTAATCAATTAATGGCAAATTTACTAACACATTATTACTAAATAAAACACTTTGAAAGCATAGAAAGTTTTTTAAAAAATCCAAAAAACTTCCATACATACCTCAATGGTAGTACTTAGTGGTCTTCCCCAACTGGGGATGATTTTCCCCCAGGGTTATATTTGGCAATGTCTAGCAACATTTTTGGTTGTCACAACTGAGGAGAGTTGCTACTACATCTAGTAAGTAGAAGCCTGTACTGATGCTAAACATTGTATAATGCATAGGACAACCCTTTCCAAGAAAGAATTATCTAGCCCAAACTGTCAATAGTGCCTAGATTGAGAAACTCTGAATTAAATGATGTGTTCATATTCTCAAAGAATTCAAGAAATTAAGTAATATTCAGCTATAGTTACCAGCTTTCATAAATTACCCTGATTATCTCAATGATAAAAACCGTGTAGAATAGATTTTGTGATATTACAAAATGACTTCTGAGATAAAATTTTAAAATAATGTCAATGCATGGAGTGATTAAATGACTGAATTTGTGTTTGAACAGTTTTGAACTAATAGAAAATTCCATCCTGAACTTGCTTGTGGTGGTATGAGTAATAGTTAGTACCTATTTATATCTGGCTTATGCACATTAAGTTAATACTGCTTTTAGCAAGTTGGCCTTAATTTGTTCTATATCCTTAGGGGTGTCTACAACTTATCTTGACCTGGCTTAAGTGCCATTGATCACAAGAAGCAAGGATCAAAATAAGGTGAATGGATTATTTTAAAATTATCATTACTATATTATTGTATACAACAGTGTCAATGGCAGCCCCATCTTGCCAGTAGGTCAGCATCGTGATTTTATTCTGGAAGGACAGCTTATAAATTAAGCAGTTGACCTTTATGTCAGTCAATCAACATTGGGCGATCTAGGTCTGCCAAAGACATTAACTTTGAGCAATGGCCACCTCACCAAAGGCAGAAATGCAGTATTTATGAACCTCTCATTGTTGTCTTTGCCAAAGTCTCAGTGACATTGTCTGGTTATCATTTTTTGTCATCGATTAAAAGGCAGGAAATAATGATCAATTGCCTAGAACATTACCTGTAAAAAATACAATGTCCCAGAAGTTAAGAGATACACAAAATAAAAATTCTAAGTAATGTGCTTATTTTACAACTTTTTGCATCAGAGCACTACAAAAGATTAGAACTGTAAAGTATTCAGTGATATTTTTATTTTCCCACTTTTTTATTGCACAGATGTAGAAATAAGGCCCTGAGACCAAGTACCAGAACACACACATACTGGACTCTTAAGTAATTATCACTTCTCATTATCTAGTTAAATGGTCTCTGCATTACATAATAAGGCCACATAACTGAAAATATGAGTTAGACAATATTATATTTATAAATAAAATATGACAGGCAGTGAATGTCACTGCATTTAAGATACTCTCTCCAACCGTGGCAAAAGTAGGAAGTAATCGGAACCTCAAATGATAATAGTATTGACCTAAGTAGAAATCCTGTGTATCTGTTTGATAAAAAGCCTCACTTAACACAATTATTGCATACTTATTGAACACTTAGAGCACGTTGGAGACACAAATACAAATCAGGCACAGATATATAACACTGAGGGAGTTTACAGACAATTGATGATAATATTAGAAAAGATGTTTGTATAAGTTAGGATACACTCAAGTTAGGATGACTTGGGAAGGATTTATTTGTGGATGGAGTTATTACCAAGGTGGGGGCATGGTGTAAGGAAACACAAGTAGAATAGAAGTACCAGTAGTCTAGAAAGCGCCAAACTTGGTCTGAATGTAATGGGGAGGGAGAAGTCACCTTAACCTAGAAAGAGAGAGAGTCATTAAAATACAGACAACTCCTGAAACAAAATACCTTTACAATTATCCAAGCTGGTATATTGGTAGAAGGGATTGCATTAAATGGTGTGTTGTGTCAGGTATGGTGTGTGAGAAATATTGGATAAAGGTACCTATAAGGACATAAAACTTGTGGGTCAGATAAGTGCTATTGCCTTAGAAAAAAGAAAGGGAGAGGCTCAGAGTGATTAATTGATAATTGAAAGCTAAGTGTGAAAGCTAGGGGACTTTTACCACATAAATAAAATTTCACTTTCTGAAGTTAGAGTCAGAGAAAGTTGGGGACTAGGTGCAGGACTTAATCACAGGAGTGGCAGAGCTTCAAAGATGGTTTAACTCTCAATATAAGTAGGTTTGCTATGCTAGGACCAAGACTCCAGTTAGGAAAGAATGTGACCTTGACACATGCGATGGGGACATCTAGATTTATTGGACCTAGAATTCCCTAAATTCCCCTAAGCCTTGAGGGTGAAGTGGCTTACTGCTTCTTATTTAAGGCTAACAGTCTACCCTTCTTTTGAAGATGGTGAAAAGGCTTCCTTCGTGCACCTCAAGATTTGTCCCCAGTTCTCCTACTGGTCTCTAGGGTTAAGTCATGATATAACCCAGCTAAAGACAAGCAGGGCCTAATAAGGAGGGAAATTGAGAATACTTCACAGGAGCTGTAGGACCTACTCACCATGATTATGCGTGGGATGAGAATCTAAGGATTCTTGTTCAAGGGACAGGGTTGGAGGGAAAAAGGAGACAAGAAGGAAAGTCACCATTTTGGCAGAGTTCATCAAATCTGATCAGGAATATCCAGTGGGTCTGTTGTCACATAGTGGTGGCAAGAAGAAACATATTTAGCATTCAGGTAGTACATTTAGTTTCTCTTGATATTCTCTTTCCCAATATTGGTGAATGGACAAATGCAACAACCTTAATTTGATAAGAACATGAGGAACAAGGGCTCAAATTTCTCAGAGATTACGGTATTCATCATGCCAGGAAGATCAGCAAAACTGCTAGTCAGTGTTGAAGGGAAGCGCATATAGAATGGATGATAGAGGAGAAAAATAAAAATAATGTTTGTGGTTCTAAGACCAGTCATAGCAGTAGTGTACGTGGTTTTCTCACTAATCCGCTTCAACCAAATTTCCCTAAGAAGAGAGGTTGACTAGATTCCTGGGCTAACTGTTCCCTGAATTTTTAAATTAAGTGGTGCCAAGTGGTTCAAGCAGTAGGCTTCTCCCAGCTGTCCCTTCAAGAATGTAGCTGCTAGAAGAACTGTCTGCATAGCTAGTCCTCACCTGCCAGCCCCATGCTGGGCTTGCCTTGGCTGCAGACAGGTACACTGCTCAAGGTCATACCTTCTTCTAGGGGCAGCCTGCATCTGGTAATCACTACAGGGCTATAAATATCTGGCTCTCTCACCCCAGTTGGGGATAAATATAAATGGTTATTCTGGCTGCAGTTGGTTTGTCTGATGCCTCCACTGAGACTGTATCACAGCTCAACTTCTCCCTCTGCCTAGCTGCTTTATTTATTACCAAAGCAGTTGAACCCAACAGCTCTCTAATAAAATGCTTGCACTCTAAACTCCATCTCAGAATGGTTTAATAAAACACTTGCACTCTAAACTCCATCTCAGAATGGTTTTCCAAGGGACCCCGACTTGCAACAGCTGGTGAGACATTTATTTGTGCCATTAGGTGGAAATATCAGAAATATTGGTTAAAAATCACTTAAAATATATGTTGGGCAGTTTTTATATAGATGTTCTATAACTAACTGCTACTCTGCCTGACCTCTGTGTCTTACTCCATTGCAGACTTTGTTTGCACTAATTTTTTTTGCATTAGACTAAGATTTATTTATGTTTAACAGTCAAGTTCTTACAGTATATTCTTATTAATAAGCTTCATAATTTCCTAATGTTTCAGAAACCCACAATGTGACATTTACATAATAATCCTAAAACTTGCACAAAATTATAGTTGCTAGTATAAAATCATTTAAATATCATAACCTTATAATTTACCTTATTGTTATTTTAGTGTAGTAATAATTAAGAGATTCAGTCTACATATACGGTACTTTTTGAGACCCTGATATTTATTAAAATGAATACCTGATTCATGTCATTAAACAGCTTTAATTTAGTTTAATTTAGTTATTTTCAAACAACGATACATGAGAAAACATAGAGTCCATGGCCCTACCCACCAAAAGTCCTGATTTAGCCAGCCTGGGAGATGGGTGCAGAAATCAACATTGACAAGGAGGGTGCAGGGTTCATGACACTCTTGGAGAAGCACTGATTTATGAGCTAGAGAGAGCAGACTGAAAAGCCTTGGGTTACAGAGACATATCACTGTTGGTGCTTTGAGCTTTTCTCTGAGTTTTCTCACATCGTGCAAAGTAACACTAGGTAATAGTGTCTATGCACTAATTTTTATTTCACATTATCATAATCTCTCTCTCATTACCTTTGATATTCTCATTGTTCAAAAAGCAGGTTTATCATGCTAATTACCAGTATGTTATGCATCAGGGTAATAGTTCTGTCAGTACTAGTATACATTTTAGGCAAGTGTTGCAAAACCAAAAATTTGTTCAGCTTTAGCTGTTAAGGAATTGTTATAACCCAAAACGACTGCTCTTCTAGACACACTATTCCCACCTAGTTTCTTTAAATTCAACACATCAGTTTCGTAGAAATATACAGGTAGATTTTCTTAAGATCACATGTCTAAGATAGCAGCTGTTTTTAATCTGAGGATCATGATAAAAATACTTTCTTTACTGTTTATAAAGGACTTTAACATAGAATCAATCAAATATTTAAAATTGATAAGTTGTCTTAATAAACCATTAAATACTAAATTTTGAACATTTTTGTACTCATAGAAATTCTTTTCTAGTTTACCTCTGAAAGCATGTGATATTATATCAACATTAGATCTTCACATTTACTGCAATTTTCAACCTTAGGTGCCTATGGATTTGAAAAATCTCTTTCATCTTTTCTAGGTTCTTTGTTTCATAAAACCATTGAAATCTGGTTTGCCAAAGACACTTTGCATATTATTTTCCTTTTCTATTCATTTTGTTTATAATTTTGTTGATTTCTCACCTAATTGTTATTATTTGTTTAATTCGCTTACTTCAAATTAATTTTCTTCTTTTATCTGACTTTCTGAGGTGAAAGATTAGATTGTTGATTTTAGATTTTTGTTCTTTTTGGATATATGGAGTCAATGCTAAAAAATTTTCCTGTAAGTAGGTCAGGCTGGGTGGCTCATGCCTGTAATCCCAGCACTTCAGGAGGCCGAGGTGGGCGGATCACCTGAAGTCAGGAGTTCAAGACCAGCCTGGCCAACATGGTGAAACTCCGTCTCTACTAAAAATACAAAAAATAGCCAGACGTGGTGGCGGGCACCTGTAATCCAAGATACTCGGGAGGCTGAGGCAGGAGAATCACTTGAACCCTGGAGGAGGAGTTTACAGTGAGCTGAGATTGCGCCATTGTACTCCAGTCTGGGTGATAAGAGTGAAACTCCGTCTCGGAAAAAAGAACAAAATTCTGTAAATATTACATTCCACACATTTTGACATTTTGTTTTATTTTAATGTAGTTTAAGGTATTTTTAAATTTTTCTTGAGATGTATTTGACCCAGGTGTTATTTAAGAGTGTTTTCAGTCTACAAAAATTTTGGAAATGTCCAGGTATATTTATGTTATTGATTTCTAGTTTAATTCCATTGTGTTCTGAAAACATATTTTGAATGATTTCTGTTCTTTTATATTTATTAAGTTGTGTTACATGGCTCAGAATACAGTTTATCTTGGTTAATGTTCTGTATGAGCTGGAGAAAAAATGTGCATTCTGCTGTTGTTATATGAAGTATTTTCTGTCAATTAAGTCCAGTTTATTGATGGTGCTATGTAGTTCAACTACATCCTTACTGATTTTCTGCTTGCTGGATCTGTCCATTACATGTAGCAGGGTGTTGGCATCTCCAACTATAAAGGTAGATTCTACTATTTCTCCTTGCAGCTCTATCATATTGTAGATGAGGAACATGCAACAGATATCGGAGAAATAACTTGCCCACGTTCCATGGCTGTAAGTTTATGTTTTCAGATGATGATGGGGAAGCTAACTTGTTAATCTAACAAATAATACTTATTTACATGCACAGGAATGAATAAAATTGTAATTTACAAGTGTTTTGGGCAAATGTTGTTCCGCCAAAAGGTATCTCCACTAGGAACCTCAGAATTTGATCTTATTTGGAATAAGGGTCATTGCATATGTACTTAAGGATTTGCAGATGAGATCATCCCGAATTACAATGGGCCCTAAGCCCAATAACTTTTGCTTTTATAAGAATAAGTACAGGGACATTTGAGACACAGAGAAACAGAGGAGGAGGCCATGTGAAGATGGAAACAGAGATTGGAATAATTCATCTACAAGCTAAGGGACACCAACAATTGCCCACGGGCACCAGAAGCTGGGAGAGAGACAAGGATTGGCTTCTCCCTCAGAGCCTACAGAAGGAACCAACCCTGCCACCCTTAATTTTGGACCCCAGAACTGTGAGAGAAAAAACCTCAGGTGTTTTGAGATTCTCAGTTTGTGGTAATCTATTATGTCAGCCCTAGGAAACGAAAATGAGTATATAAGTACTTCACAAATTGTTTAGCTCAGTGGCATGGTAAGCTAAATCCATTTAGCATTTTCTTATTGAAATCCTGACCTGAAAAAGACACAGAGAAAACTAAAACAAACAGAACTGTGTGTGTATGTGTGTGTGTGTTAAATAAAACATAAGGGCATTAATTAGTGATTTAAAAAATTATTCTCCACTAATCACCTTATAATATATCAGGCTTTAGAAAGCAATTAGATTTCAATTAGAAAAACAGGAAAAACTTCATAACATTAGTATTATTTATAGTTTGTAATTATCCCATTTATCTTGGTTTATCGTCTGTGCTCCCCACTAGAATATAAGCTCCTTGACATATTGGTGACATTGTCAATATTGTTTGTTGTATTGTCTCAGATATCTAGCAAAGGTATGTAATAACTGTAATAAATATGTGTCGAATGAAAGAAGGGTTGATTCATAAAGAGAAATCTTTATTGCTATGATGCAGTTGTATGTGAAAATAAGAATTATTTCATATATCTAATCAACAGAGACAGGACAGCAATGTATCTACTGAAATATATCACAGGTAACAAGCTGACCCTACCTATGGGGTTATTACCGCTTGGATGTAGGGATTCATGGATCTATTGCATTCAAAATGACCTGGAAATTGACTTTTTATCCCATACCACTTTTTGTGGTTATACCAACCACACTATTATTTTCCATAAAATTTTCTCTGTCTCATGGCTTTAGTAAAAGAAGTATATTGAAATACAGTTGAGCATTTTGGTAAAGAATCTTATACTGCAGTTTTAGGAGAATGTAACATTGATTGGCAATATTCATGAAAAATGAATCATTTGTTTGCCCTCATTTCATGCACAGAATTCACCATGACATCAGTGGGAGCTTTTTACAACAATAAATCTGTGCCAAATAATAAATTACATTTCCTCATATTAAATTAAAATGTGCACATTGGAGAGGCTTAATTTTAAATTTCCATGACAAATGGAAATCTGGACACTAAAATAAAACAGGAGAGAGAAAAGAAAAAACTAAAATGCAGTTTAACTACAAAGAAAAGGCCTAAGCTTTGACTCTCAGGATTTTCTTTGAAAGGTAGTTTTTTAAAAATTAATAACTGTTAATATTAGGGGTTGTCAGAATGCTATTTAATTCTTTCTAAAGGGAGGTAATTGGTATTTACATCATTTTTGGTAACTGAATATACATGGAATATTTCTACATGTAGAAGAACAGTAAGAAAAATAATCTCATAAGAAAGCGAATGAAATTAAACACACTAACAACTCTCCTTCCAACATGTGAATGTAACTCAGAATTTCAGAACTATTCCCTTTTTTAGTGAATGCTGGCATAATAGCTAAACTGAGTTAATGCAGCAATTTCTTACATTCTGGGATGCTAATCATATTACTACCCACAGAAGTCCTGTAACACTCTACAGTTCTTGAAAGGGTCAGATGAAACCTTCGGATATTCTTTCATCACCATCATAAAACATCAGGTAAAGGTACAAAATGTCATGTTCCTATTCTTATCTTATCAGTGTGAGGTTCTCAAAATAATCTTTACAGCACAGGAAGCATCATGAAAATAGTGTGCCCTCATTTCACTCCTAATAAGAATGGAAAACATCAGGTATTTTCTAAGTCTTATCCTGGGCCACTGCTATAGACATCACAGTGATTAATTTCATCCTGCAGTCTTCAGTTTACAGGAAATCCATATAAATCAACCAGAATATGGAAATTCATACCTCCCAGGGGTAAAAGATTAACAGATTCTAAATTGGAGCAAAAAAGAAAGGTCAATAAGAAAGCATCAATGAGGAACAGGGGAAAAATATGCCAGACAACTGAGTACTTTCTTTGGAGAGTTACATTGTGGGTTATTATTATTTTTTTCTGACTCAAAATGACACAGCCTTGAGCTGGCAACCACAAATATGAATATTTGGGAGCCAATAGAATTACTGTCATGAGGAAGTTTTTTGACTCAGAGATTCTTTTCAACATCTGAGATAAGCCATGGAAACTCTCCCTCCAGAAATCTCCATTTTCACACCACTTCAGAGAGAATTCTGTTACTGAAAGTATAATCAGTGCATGGTTAGGCTAGCTTTCCATAAGGGAGAGAACTGAAGGTAAAGAGGGGCTCAAAGAAGCCAGATGGAGACCAGCCAGAAACAGCTAGTACAGAGTTTCTGTTTGCTTTGCCACAAGGTCTAAACGTTTTCATCCTTTAAAGTATTTCCTAAAAACACAGTGTCTCCAAAATTATTCATTTAACTCTAAGGTCAATCCGAGTGAGAATCTGGAGTGAGGCCTCATGAACTATATAAAACCAAAAAGAATTAGAAGTGTATGTTATTCTTGAAATGACCTCCTATGTGATCTCTTGGGTAGGAATTAGTGCAACTAGTGTTGAAAAGTAGAAAAGGATATATACAAAAAACAATTTTTGTTTTTTCATATACAAAACAATTGTTTTGTTGGCTAACCAAAGTGGACACTTGCAAGGTAGTTCTGAGGAACTACTTCAAAGAGGAACTTGAAGGAAGTTACATTTTTGAGCTAGGTACCACTGAAACTATTGTTCATATTTCATGGAAACAAAAATATTTCTGAGCTATGTCATCAACTAGTGGATGTGTGTTGGAATTGATCATATATTTTATTGAGTGATGAAACTGCATTAATGAATTCAGAAAGAAACCTGACAGAGCCGTTCCTAAGACAGAGAAATGCAAACAGAAGCTCTGGCTTGTTTCGGGGTTGGGATTATTGTTAGACTCTCAAATGTATTATAGATAAAGGGCACGAAGGAGGAAACGCTGTCAGCCAGTGCAGAAGAGACCTCGTGTGCACGCACATTTTAATCAACCCACAATAAAATCTCTAATGAAAACAAAAGCAATTAATAGGTCTACACAGCTTTTATATACTTTATTTTTTTCTGCAAAATCAGATCTCTGGGTATCTTTTATTTAATTAATGAATGCTCTAGATGTTCATTTTACCTGCATTAGTTTCTTTTACTAATAAGCTGGGTGCCACTATAAGTGAAAGAGCTTGGTAATTTGCATAAATAAAATATAGAGTTATTATATATTAAGCCTTGTTTGTATATAAGGAAATGTTCTAGATACTTTGTAAATAATGTCTTTGCTTCTTACAAAAACGTTGCAAGGTTAGTGATGCTGTTATTATTATTATTGAATCGATTGAAAGATGTGGAGTTTAAATATCTTGCCAGAAAGCACACAAATATGAAGTGTTAGGGTTGGCGCTAAAATCGGTTTGCCTTCAAAATTATTTGAAGCCCATTCTATTAAGCCATGTTTTCTATTATGGATACGCATAAATGAAAGGTCAGAGAATTTCAAAATATCAAGGTTTTTTTTTCCAGAAAGTGAAAATATAAAGCTTTTGATATCAGGCCAAAGGTGGAAAGACCAAATTTTACAACAACAAATTTACAAGTACCAAAAACTTGTGCAGGTTGTAAAATGAGCCACAGGCTCCAATCCAGGCTGAAGTGATAACTATAAAATATTTGCTTTTTAAAAAATTGCTCCTCGTATTGTAGCAAATAAAGGCTTCCCATAGTAAGGACGTTTGTTTATGCACATGGGCTATGAGTAAACAAAGAACTCTTATCTCCATATACATCAGAATATTTTTGCTGAAGGCAAAAAGAACAGCCAAGTGTATTAATAAAAAATGCTAAGCAAGAGAAAATAAAATTCTGTGTCTATTCATTCTGAGAATTGAAAGACTGAAAATAATTTGAAGCGTTGAAGCTCAACATTCACTATTTGGGAAAGATATACATATATATTTTTCTGAGAACAGCAGTCCATGATTACTGAACACGACATCGACACTGGTAGTATTCTTTGTTGAAAGAAATGAGCCATCATGGGCCATCAAGGGGCAATGGCGGATTTAATGGGGCCATTTAAGCAGGGAACTTTCCGTCTTATTGCTGTTCATATCACATTGTGCAGTGACTTCTCCTTTATATTCAGCCTGTTAACTAAAATAGAATTCAGAGGGGAAAAAAGGAACCCGGAGGGACTGCCTGCTCCTGCAAAACCCTAATAAATTGTTCAATAGCCATTTAACACATACGCATGAAACTCTTTAGTAGAGATATGTTTTCAACTTTATGTAACACCTGTCTAACATGGTTTAAAAGAATGTCAAGAGAAAAGAAGATCAACTGATGGCAACGACGGAAAGGATATACAAGGTACACATTTATATTACCGGCTCATTCCAATCCAGGCAAGACATAAACCAGGGTTCTGAGAGCGGTGTTGATCATGACAAGATTAGTGACCAGTGCCTTTCTTCTCCTCTGACAGCTTGTGGATGCAGGATGGATTTACGTGTCCCTGGAGGACAGGAAGGCATAAACAACGCTTGGCATCAGCATCATGAAGTGCTGACATCACCAGTTCAAATCATCTGACGGAGCCAGAAAATTAGAATCCAAAACTTGATTTCATAGTATACTGCCTTGCAAATGAGGAAATATGACAGATCTCAAAAGTGCTTCTGAATGTACGCCCTCTTGCCCATTTTTTTTTTTTTTTTTGCATTCTGATCAAGTATATTCAAAGGGAGATAATATTGCAAGCACATCCTGGGCGACTGGGGAAATGAAGGTTTGAATATTGGCCCTGAAGTTGTAGACTAAGTGGTAAGCAATGCTTCATAATAATAATAATAAGCTCCAATCACACGAAGGCAAAAACCAGTCCTAACCTCAATATAACAGACATATTTATATGGTGGAATCGTGCCATCTCCTGCTTGGCAGCATCAGACTGATGAGCAAGCTGTGTTTGAGCTGTCAGATGCTCGGCCATCACTGTCAGTTCCACTTTTGACACTTCAGTTATGTCTGTATTTTGAGAAAGGGCAAAAGACTGATGCTTCCCAAATCTATTTTCTGGCCCAGAGTTTCATTTTTTCATCAAAAATCTCATTTATCAATATCTAGGAGAGAGGTTACTTTTTTTGAAGGAAGGGAAGGATTTCTGAAATATAATCAATTTATTTCAACATTTATTTTGCTTTTACTTGGTGATCATTACAATCTCTAAAGGGCACTTTTTTCAAAGAATAGGTTATTTATTTTATAAAACTATTTCATGATGCCATTTTCACCGTTATTGCAATACACTTCAGCATTTCAGGCTCAACAGCAGTTATTTTAATGTTTTCAGGGAGATAATCCATAAAAGCAGTATATTTTACAATGTCTATTTTTTATGTATTTATGTATGTATGTATGTATTTGTTTGTTTGTTTGTTTTTTGAGATAGTATCTCACTCCATCGCCCAGGCTGGAGTGCAGTGGTGCGATCTCGGCTCACTGCAACCTCCGCCTCCCAGGTTCAAGCAATTCTCATGCCTCAGCCTCCCGAGTAGCTGGGATTAGAGGCATAGGCCACCACGCATGGCTTATTTTTGTATTTTTAGTAGCGACAAGGGTTTCGTCATGTTGGCCAGGCTGGTCTTGAACACCTGACCTTAAGGGATACACCCGCCTCGCCCTCCCAAAGTGCTGGGATTAGAGGCACGAGCCACTGCTCCCAGCCAGTGTCTATATTTTATATTTGATTATTTGTTTCCAATGTTATGTACCTACAAAATTAGTAAAATCTGTGTTTATTTGTGAACTTAATATGTCACCTAATGACCGTTATTTTATCAAATAAAGTCAACTAAAATATGTTGAATAGTTTTATATATTCAGCCTTATAAACTACATTCAGTTGCCACGTGATATTAATAGTAATATTGCCAACCAACAAAAAAACTAACTACTTATTGAGAGGCTACTATGTGCCAGACATGGGGTTAGGAAATTTGCATGCAAAATCAAAATTAATGTTTACACATTTAAAATAACTTCTTGGAAGATAAACCTAAATTAAGAAATATTCTTACATCTCCTTTGAAATAGTTTCTTTTCACCTACATTTTTTAATAAACATGAAGGTTAAGATTATCTTATTAGTTATTTTAAGGGTAATGTGTGAAATGAATAACTTCGCAGTGTTATCATTTTCAAATTTCTGTCCTCTACTTAAGCACAAAAAAGTCTAGATAGTTTCACACTCAAACTTTCTTCCCAACATGAAATTTAATCACATTTCATGGAATAATGCCTTCCCTACTTGCTATGAACAATGAAATCAGAATTACTGCTTACTGGAAATTGTCTCACAGGGCTTTGGCCTCTGTGATATGAATATAAGCATGGTAAAATATTAATTTTAGCCTAAGGTTTTTTGTTATTCTACTTGTACAGTTAACATAAAAAACAAAATCTTCTGGCAAAAAAATAAAAGGATGAAAATGATAGCTAGGATTTTCTTAGACGGGGAAAGATGGCAGGTTGCTGTTGACAGCTTGAGATGCCTATAATAAAATAATACCTGAGAAAAGTTAGGAGATTCCTAATTGCTTACTAAAAATGAATTAAAGCCTCTAATTGTGGTACATTCACAGTGTCTCAGGCACCTAATCTTTTATTGGTATTTATAATGTCTGTATTGACCTCTTTGACCTTGGCTACAAACATAGCTATTACTCCTTTACTGATTGTCTCTCTAGGAGGCGGTGGAAACTTTTACCAGTCTGCTCTGCTCTTCTGGCTTCCAAAGGAAGTTGGATACATGTTCTCTTAATTACTCGATCCCAAAAAATGTGTATAGGGGCCTATAGCTAATGGACTAGGGAGTGCTGATAGATAAGAGGCCCTCAATATCCATCTAACTCTCTGCTTTCTCTTTCTTTGGCATCCCAGGATGTTGAGATTCCTTCTGTGATAAAAAATACACACATTCATACCTACATGCACACACATATAAATACTCGAATAAAGTTTAAAATTGCTCTGCAAGGATTCTTTCAAATGTTATACTTTGAACCAGTCTATCAATTTCTTCACTGTTTTAAAAAGCTCACACTGAAACTATAATAACTGATTAACTGCTCTAGGGTGTTGGCTAGGTCTTTTCAGAAAAAAATGAGGGTGGGGTAGTAATGTTACAAAGTGGAAAGCATCTTGATTATTATTTCACAACACTGTCTTATTACAAAAAAAAAGAGAAAGAGAAAAAAGAAGTATACATATTCAACTTACATCCTTTAGGGTATATTGCTTATGATACACCTCCAAGCAAGGTGATATAATATCAATATAATAACAAATCAAAGAACTTTTTTTACCATGCCATCCAACACCCTTTACTCTGAAGATTAGAACGAAAAAAGCCCAGAGAACATTAACAGTTATTCTGATGTTACATACATCCTTCTGTCAAAACATATTCTAGAATCTAGTTCTCCACTTTTTGGCCTATCTCATTGACAACTTTGTTACCAGTTTGGGGTATTCCTGTGTGCTCCTGGACAAACCCTGGCCTGATTTTCCCACTATGGCTGCCTCTCTAGTTTTTTTTCTCTTTATCACTTAAAGAAATATAACTAGGGATGATAATGTATACATGGTAAAGTGTTTTCCTTTATAATTTCAAGGAATTAAACACTGAGGTATTCATACCTTCTTTCATATGGAATATTTATAGTGATAAACACAGGTATACCTTGGAGATATTGTGGGTTCACTTCCAGATCACCTCAAAAACATAAATATTGCAATAAAGCAAGTCACACAATTTTTCTTCATTTCTCAGGACATATGAAAGTTATGTTTACGCAATATTGTAGCCTGTTCTGTGTTCAAGCACACGGTATAAAAAACAATGCATGTATCTTAATTTAAAAATATTTTATTGCTAAAAAAATGCTAATGATCACCTGAGCCTTCAGCAAGTCATAGTGGAAGGTCTTAGCTAGTGGAAGATCTTCCCTCAATGCTGATGGCTGCTTATAGATCAGGATGGTGTTGCTAAAGGTCGTGGTGGCTGTAGCGATTTCTTAAAAGAAAACTGTAAAGTTTGCCTCATCAATTGACTTTTCCTTTCTTGAAAGGTTACTCTGTAGCATGTAATGATGTTTGATAGCATTTCACCCACAGTAAAACGTCTTTCAAAATTGCAGTCAATCTTCTGAAACCCTTCCACTGCTTTCTTAACTAAGTTATGTAATTTTAACTTGTAACATTCATCATTTTAGAGGAGTACATAAAAACTGTAAAAATGGGTCAGAAACAAGGTTTGCAATGCTCGTAATTATCTTCAACAGTGGCAATATTTAACATTTTGAGTCAGTCTCAACAGGCTGGCAATATAACTAACATAATACATAATGGTAAATGTTCTTGTTAAAAAAAGCAGCAAATTATTTTTCTATTTAAAATCTTTAGAAAAGGTTTAATGTAAAAATAGTTTTCTTTTTTATCTATTTCCCTGCCATGATAATGTTAAAACTTATCAAGATCCTCCTCAAACTTTAAGGGTGAAAAGTATAATATTATGTTTCAGTGGAAGCATTCCTTCATGTAGCCAACATATTTTTTCAAGACACTCTAAGAACTCTTGAGGATACTACGGGAAAAACGTTCCTCTTGCCTACTGATCTTTTTGTCATATTTCCCCTCAAACTTTTCTTTCTTTCCTTTTTTTTTTTTTTTTTTTTTTTGAGGCGAAGTCCTGCTCTGTCGCACAGGCTGGAGTGCAGTGGTGCAATCTCAGCTCACTGCAACCTCCGCCTCCTGGTTTCAACCGATTCTCCTGCCTCAGCCTCCCGAGTAGCCGGGATTACAGACGTGCGTCACCACTCCCGGCTAATTTTTGCATTTTTAGTAGGGATAGAGTTTCACCATGTTGGCCAGGCTGGTCTCAAACTCCTGACCTCAGGTAGCCACCCACCTCAGCCTCCCAAAGTGCTGGGATTACAGGCGTGAACCACCAAACTTTTCTAAACTAAACATTGTTATAACTGTTTTTTAAATTTAATTTCCCATGGTACAGTCCTCAAGTTATTTTTCTTTTATTTGGAAGCACTCCTTCAGTTTCAACTTGCTGAGCAGGCAAGCAACTGCTTTTGGTTTCTATGGAAACTGGAATCCTGTGGCTGTGTATAGGCATTCTGGTTCCACCAAACTTTTGTTGTGGTATCCAGTGATTTAGGTGGAAAAGTACAAGGTATTCTTCCATGATGGATATGATATGGTAATAAAAGCCTGGGATCTAATGGAACCCAGGGAAATGAGAGACTGAAAGGTATGCCAGGAAGGCCGCAATGGGTTTTATACAAATTGTATGCTGTCCTAGTAACTTTTCCATCAGAGACCTTATAGTTCAGGAGTGAAGAATCTTCTGCTGCATAATATAACAAGTAGGAACCCTCCTGCAAGCTACTTAATTTCTTTAGAATGTGTTGGAGGATGTTAAATAAATTGGAAATCTTGAGTGCTGAAAGCGTTTAATTCTTCTGAGGTAGTTTCTTCCAGTAGAAAATGCTTTGAAGTAAATGCATCAATATGCCCAACATAAAATGAGCTGTTGGAATGTAATAAACTTTCAGTCCTTAAGTGACAAAATTCACTTTCAATCAGAGCTTCAACTCCATAACAAGCTTGATACTCTACTTTTGGTAGTACATCAACTGGAAATTGTCTTCTGATTTTCTTCTGTTCTTTGAGAATGTGGTCTTGTCTCTATCCTCTGGACACTGCAGCACATGAGAAACAACAGATCTTGAAGTCTAAATAAATTATAAACAAAATTTCCTTCCTGAGAAGCTAGGTATTCTGATGTATCTTCAACATAGTCCTGAAGTTCATATGGCAATTGTCCTTTGGGCTTCTGAAATGCAGAAGGCCATCCAGATTTCGGTCAACTAGAGCCATCTGAAGGAACAGACAATTGCTCAGAAACAGAAGACTGTTTAGAATTTCCTAAATTCATCAAGGACAGTTTGGGTACTTTTCTGGAAATTGGCTTTAAGAGCTCATCCTGCATTTTTAAAATTTCTCCAACTGGATCATATTTTTTATATACTCATTTGATACGTTTTTTAAAAAAAACACACGACTCTGCAGGCCTACAAACAGTAGTAGTCTGTTTTCCTACAGAAGCCTGTCCTGAGGAAGAATTTGGACTAGCTGATCTAAAACTTAAGTTAGAACCCACAACATCTGTCTTTCCATTGCTATTATTTTTACACTCTCTATCAATGATTAAACACTCCTCATCTGTATCACTGCTGAAGAGAACTGGATCTTCAGTTTTAGCTGCTTCTGATCTAACAGTCTTTTCCTTTGAGTTGTCTAGGTTTTCCAGAACATTGGGTCTTTCACCATCAGCATGTTCCATATCCATAGTCATATCATTTTTATTAGAAGTTTCAATTTCCTAAGAATTTTCTAACTGTAAGGCATCAGATGTTTTCAAGTCACTATCTTGCATCAAAGACTTGTCAGAATTTGATACCTTATCACCACATGATTCAAACTCTGATCATCTTTATTTTTGCACTCTTCAGGGCCACCATCCATACCAGTGACCAGTTGTTTCTCCTTTTGCCATTGTTCAATCAGAATCTGAGATGAACTTCTAGAATTAGCAGAAATGTCTGGTGCACTTGGTGCCACAGGTGTTGTTACTGCTTTGGGGGCTGTAGGAGCATCTGTCATGTTAGGTACTGTGGAAGTACTTGCTGGAATTGGTGACTTTGATGCTTTGGTGGTGGTTACTCCAAAAGTTTCAAGTTCTGTGACCTCATCATCAAAATCCAGATACAAGTTTTCAAGAGTCTCAATTTTTCGGCACTCATTGAATTCATGGGACATGTCCATTTCAGATATAAACTCTTCAGGTTTGTCCATAAAGACTGCAGATACTGGAACAAATGTGTTTTGGGGCATCATAAATTTTAATGGAACTTCATGAAAGATTTGTTTTCTTTCTCTCATAGTTATTTTATTTCGGGGAAGTGGCGAATTAATATATATTACTTTAACTGGTTTTGAACCTGCAACAGGTATTACTTGAATCAATACCGAAAGTTCCCAAGGTTCCTTGTACATTGGTCCATGATTATTTAATAAAGTAAATAATGATTGACTAGTTAGAGCTAGCTGAGGGTGATATCGTGAAATAAGTTTCTCTGCATTTGGATCTTTTCTAATATAATAATGCATAGCTTCAGCCGTTCATTCTGGCAATTCAATGGCAGATATATCATCTTTTGAGAGCTGCAACTTTATAAGCATTGAGGGAAATACTGTTTTCACACATTTTACCCTGCCCAATGCAAGAAGAGATTTTTCTAACTTTAATTCCATCTCTACTCTGAATGGGAAGAATACCATTAAGCTGGTGACCTCATGGAGAGTATAGAATTCTAGGAACTTTTTCACTTGTTCAATGCAAGCTCTCAAAATTTTCACTGTGAAGAGACAAGCATCATCAGAAAGCATATTATAATCCTGTGCAAACTTCTTTGCAGAATTCTGCAAAAACTTTAGGAACTCAGTAACTTCTTCATTCACATGTTTTTTTCATATCCAAGTACTGCAAGAAGTCATTTTTTCTTTATTCTGATAGTTTTGGAATTTGCAGAAATCTTTGTATATTTAACCAACAAGTCCACATAACTCCTCTGCTCTCTCTGTTCAATAAAACACATAGTTCTTTTAAACTTGGAGCCATGGGATAATCTTTATAATTTTCTCAAGAGAAAAATGTCTTAAGGCCATTTTTGGGGAAAATATCCCAATTCAGTCCTGGTTCACTTATGACCAACTTGCAGCTCGTCTTCCTAGATTTCTGCTTCACTCTAGCTCATAGTTCACAACTGCCTGGCTGCAAAGGCTCCAATAGAGGCAGAATCCCTCCAGAATTTACTCAACTCATGGTCCACCATGGCTCTTGCCCAGGTGGCATCCACACACCACACACGCTCCACCCCACTCCTCACATTGTTGTGTGCACCTGGGAAAGCCATATTTAAAGGACATGGCCCGGGTTATGTAATTTTTGTTGTAATTTTGATAATGTTCATAGCATCTTCCCTAGGAATAAATTTCATCTCTGAAGAAACCACTTCTTTAGGTTATTCGTAAGATGCAACTCATCTGTTCAAGTTTTACCACAGCGATTTAGAAGTTCAGTCACATCTTCAGATTCCACTTCTAATTCTAGTTCCCTTGACATTTTTACCAGATCTGTAGTTACTTTCTCAGTTCAAGTCTTGAACCTCTCAAAGTCAACCATGAGGTTTGGAATCCTCTTATTCTAAGCTCCTGTTAATGTTTATATTTGTCCTTCTTACATGAATCACAAATGTTTTTAAGCATCTAGGAGAATGAATCCTTTCCAGAAGATTTCCAATTTACTTTGTAGATTTAAGTGATTTTTCAGATCCCTCAGAGGAATCACTGTGATCACTATTTGTGGCAGCTGTAGCCTTACAAAATATATTTCTTAAATAATAAGACCTGAAAGTCAAATTATTTCTTGACTCATGGGCTGCAGAATTGATGCTGTGTTAGGAGTCGTGAAAACAGTAGTCTCCTTATACATCTCCAGCAGAGCTCTTGGTGAACAGGTGAATTGTAAATGAAAAGTAATTGTTTGAAGGAATTCTTTTCTAAGCACTAGGTCTCAACAGTGGGCTTAAATATTCAGTAAACCATGCTGTAAACAGATGTATTGTCATCCAGGCTTTGTTTCATTTGTAGAGCACATGCAGAGTAGATTTAGCATTGTTCTTAAGGGCCTAGGATTGTCAGAATAGTAAATGAACATTGACTTCACCTTAAAGTCATCCGCTGCATTGGCCTCTAACAAGAGAGTCAGACTTCCCTTTGAAGCTTTGAAGCCAGGCAGTGATTTCTCCTCCTTAGTTATGAAGGCCCTAGATGACATTCTTCTAAAAGAAGGTGGTTTCTTCTACACTGAAAAATCTGTTGTTTAGTGTAGCCACTTTCATCAATTATGTTAGTTAGGTCCTCGGGATAAGTTGCTATAGTTTCTCCATCAGCACTTTCTGCTTCTCTTGCAATTTTATGCTATGGAGAAAGCTTTTTCCCTTAAATCTCATGAACCAATCTCTGCTAGCTTCAATCTTTTCTCCTACAGCTTCTTCGTCTCTCTCAGTCTTCATAGAATTGAAGAGATTTAACGACTTGCTCTGGATTAGGCTTTGGCTTAAGGGAATGTTGTGGCTGGTATGATTTTCTATCCGGTCCACTAAAACTTTACATCAACAATAAGGCTGTTTTGCTTTCTTATCATTCATGTGTTTATTGGAGTAGCACTTTTAATTTCCTTCAAGAAATTTTCCTTTGCATTCATAATTTGGCTCACTGGCATTGAAAGCCTAGCTTTCACCCTATCTTGACTTATGACATGACTTCCTCACTAACCTTCATCTTTTTTAGCTTTTGATTTAAAGTAAAGGATGTGCAATTCTTCCTTTCACTTGAACTGTTAGAAACCATTGTAATGTTATTAATTGTCCTAATTTCAATATAGTTTTGTGTCAGGAAATAATGAGGGCCAAGGAGTAGGAGAGCGTTGAGAGAAGAACTGGTTGGCAGAGTAGTCAGAACACGCACAACGTTTATTGATTATGTTTGCCATCTTAATATAGAGGTGGTTCATGGGGAACCCAAAACATTTACAATAGTAGAAAAAGATCACTGATCACAAATCAGTATAACACACATAATAATAATGAAAACATTTTAAAAATTTGTGAGAATTACTAAAATGTGATACGGAGACATGAAGTGAGTACACGCTGTTGAAAAGTGGTGCTCATAGACTTTCTCGACACGGGGATGCCACAGACCTTCAATTTGTAAAAAATGCAATATTTTCAAAACATAATAAATTGAAATGTAATAAAATGAGGTATGCGTGTACTAGGAAGAACCATTCAAGAATAGAGAATGACCCTCTCTAAAAGTAGAGGTTGATTTAATGTAGCAAATACAGTATGCTTCATCATAATGGTTGTTGAATTGACTACTAAAAGATTTTATAGATATATAAAAATTGTAATATGATGTAAGAGCTTTTGAAACAGTCACATAATTTCAAGTTGCTAATAAAAACATTACATTAATTCTATGAAAGTAATCATTAACATCTGAAATGTAAAGTAAAATATTTAATTTTAAGGTCCTAGATCCAACAGATTTATAGAAGTTTTCACTTTTATAATGGAGACTAAGAATAGAATTTTAGTCCCTCTCTGAATTAGAGGATTTAATATTATCTGTTCTCAGAAGAATATGATATAATGAAATGGGCATATTGAAAATATTCAAATAAAAGGAAGCAATCCACAATGTTAAACTCAAACTCAAAAAGAATTCCTAGTTCTTTTTGAAAATCATAACAACATTTCTATAATTTGCTACCTGAGGAAGTGTTTGAAAATTTTAAAGGTCTTTTGGTTTTTGATGGTGGTGTTGCTAGTGGGGTACACTTTATGTAACATCTAAGAAGGATATTAGCATTTTTAATTATTCCAGTAATTTTTTTAAAATTTAGAAAGTCTAAATTTAGGCTTTCTTTGTGACTGATTTTGTAACATACTAATTCTATTCATCATGGCTATCAGGAAAACTCCTAAATGTCAGCATTGCTTAATGTTTTTCTTGATTTAGGCTCCCCTTTGGATACATACAATTCGTATTGATATTTAAGAGCTTCATATACAAATGTATTGAGTGAGTTTCTTTGGCTATCTGTGGGAATCTGCTAAAAAAAAAAATTGATCTTTCCTCGCAGTGAACAGCCCCATTTGATTCACTGTTTTTTAATATCTAGGGAGCATTGTAGCACACAAAGTGCAGAAGTAGACATGAAAGGTTAGTGACTTGCTTTTATAAGACATGCCCTCCTTAATCTGTTATACTAATGCCATTCATAGCATCACCCTGTAAGATAAGAAACTTAAAGCCATGTTTTAATAATGAGGCCTCACTGAGAATTCTAAGAAGAAGCTTCAGCTGGAGTCATAGTGTGAACACTGAGTAATGGCTGGGGTCAATAAAATCTGAAGTAATTATTTCAAAACATAGTTTGGATCAACAAATTCTTGTAGCTCATGTACCTTGCTTCCCACTATAGCTGAAGAATGCAGAAGGGGTTTTTGTATTCAAGTCAGGTCAATATCAACTTATATACATTCATAGATACAAAAGTAATTATCATGGATTGCATTGACAGTATCATTTGTCACCAGTGGGTGTTGTCATAGTCATTTACATTTGGCATCACAGTTAAACAGTTTTATGCCAGTCTTTTTTTGTGGTCTAAAAACATTGAACCAATGAGTCATTTAGGAAATAATAAGTATCCCATTTTGTTTATTATTTCCAATGGCACATGGCAAACTATGATTTAGAATGGTGTAGGATTTTATTATTACAATTACCTTATAAGATTACACCTTGGATAATAAGGGTGATTCAGACAATCAAATGCTGGACATTACTGTGTTTTAGAACTTTAAGAGAACTCGTGTATCTTGAGAGAGCCTTGGGATTAAAGCTAGGTTTCCTACGTGAGGAAAATGTTTGCTGTAGGCATAAAGGGTGTGTGTGTGTGTGTGTGTGTGTGTGTGTGTAAATTAGAAAGAAAAAAGAATTCAGAATCACACACAAAAAAATAACAAAAAGAGACAGATGACTGACGAGAGACATATCTGAGGTTGAGTTATTGGAAATGCATTGCTCTTTGTAAAGCAGTTTAGTCCACCAAGCACAGTGCTTCTTTTAGGAAATGCCTCTGCTGCACTATCAGGAGCCCTATGTGTTGTAGCTGTTTTTTCAAGGAAATCAGATGGATATGTTTTCATCTATTCATGTGTACCCAGGCCTCTTTATGATAGAAGGCATTTACTGATTTCCAAAATAATTAGTTGGGGTCACAGGTGAACTGAACACACTTTACCAAGGTAATGGTTACAGAATGTTGAGGTAGGGCTTGGCACATATTAAGGGCTGGACAAATGTACGTAATTAGTATAATTCACCTTTGTGAGGCCCTGTTATGTTTAAGAAAAAGCATCATTTTATAATAATAACAACAAAACAACCATAAATTCACAGCCAGTCAGGCAGTACTTATTTAGCTTGGTATTATATTGAATATATATGTGTGTGTATATGTATATATGATATAGATATATGATTAACACAATGACCTATGAGGCAGGTACTGTTACAAAAAATTTATAGGTACTAAATAGCTATATTACTGATATGAAAAGTGAGGCACAGAGAGATTAGATATCTTTGCCTATCGCCTAAACTGTTATGAGTATGTTTATTTAAATCTAAAAAATATAGTTATTTGACTCCTTCTATGCTCTCTAATACATAGTTAATTAGTTTTCACGTACTATAACTTTATTTGAATTTTGTAGAGATGGTTATATCAATCTTTAAGTGAAAGTTCTTCTATTTCTACTATAAATTCTGGTCATACTCTCCCAGCAAATTATTTCCATTCATTCATATTTCTGCAGTTGCTGACAGAGTAGAGAAAAACAAACTCAGTTTCTCCTACTATACTTTCACAACATGCTTCTGACACCAGTTGTGCAGAGGTTTACTCCCACGCCTTAAGCTAACAATCAGTTCTGCAACAGATACCAGCTGGGTTTCCTCCAGTTCAGTTCAATTCAATTCTGACACTATCTACCTGGGCATAGGTTCGGATCCTACAGGTTGAGGGCTCAGCCCCAAAGACTACCCCTCACTTCTGATGTCAATCACAAGCCCCAGGTTGCTTTACCTGTGCATCTGACAGGCTGGCTGTAAATCCAGGTTCCCAAAGTTCCTTCCTTATGTTCGATTAATTTGCAAGAGTGGCTCACAGAACTCAGGGAAACACTTACTTATTTTTACAGGTTTATTGTAAAGAATATTACAGAAGATGTAGATGAAGAGATGCATACAAAAAGGTATGGGGGAAGGAGTTTGGAGATTCCATACTTCTCCTTGTGTGCCACCCTTTAGGAACGTCCACATGTTCAGCTATCTTGAAATTCCCCAAACCGAATCCTTTTGGGTTTTCAATGGAAGCTACATTGCATAGGCATAATTTATTAAATCACTGGCCATTGGTGATCAACATATCCTTCAGCATCCCCATGTCCCCTCCCCGATGGTTGGGGTGTGGGGCTGAAAGTTCCAACCCTCTAATCCCACCTTGGTTTTTCTGGTGGCCAGCTCCCATCCCAAAGCTGTCTAGGGACTGCCAGCCATTAATCATCTCATTAGCATACAAATGACATTTATCACTTTGAAGATTCTAGAGATTTCAGAAGTTGTACACAAGAAGATGAGGACCAAATATATATTTCACAATATCACACCAACTATTCTTCCTAATCTCTGTTGCTCTAAGCTATCTCTCTCACCATTAATAGATTTACCTTCATAAAATCACACAAAAAAGTTTTATGCATGAGCATGTTCTTCACATTATCAGTGTTACTCAAGTGACTCAAGTTACCAAAGTCCCTGAGACTTGAGTGGACCTTTATTATAATGGTTCCCACTCCATATACTATAAGAAACTCACTTGCCCCCACCATGCTGTTGATGATACTGAGGAGTTGTATATTTCTCTTGAGCACATATATTGTTCAAATGGCCTGTTTCCTTTGCATTCTTAGTTTCCACTGTGCATCTGGTCTCAAAAAGGTTATTTTTTTCTTTGCCATTTTCCTGAATTTTGGATTCTACCCCTATTTTCTCTTTATCTTAAAGTACCACTTCTCTAAAATATATTACTTAATCTTAAAGTACTATTGGAAAAACATTTTAATTCATATTTGGATGCAAAGAAGAGAAATACATATTACAGTTAGTACTGGAAATAATTTAAATTGTAACAGTAGATATCACTGTGCAAAAAATTGTCAGGCGTGTCCTACCATGTGGGCGGCACCCCAGGGCCCCTAGCCTCTTGCTATAATTTTGAAATTCTCCTTCACATTATTTCTTCTCCTCTTCAGATTATCTCCCTTTTATGAAAGAATACCGAAAATATCAAATTCTTTCCACTCTTTTAAACCAAGCATTTGTTTTTATTTATTTGATCTAGAATGGGAATGAGTAATCTGCATTTTAGCTAAGGTGACAATAAAGCATAATTGTCTTGAGCTTGTTCTCCTGGCTTAATTATCAAAGCCTCCTGTTTCTCTCTCAAAAGGGTATTGGATTGGAAGATGCATTATACGGTCATCCTAAACAAGTATTCCTGGTGATTCTGGCACAGTTGACTCACGAACATAAACTGCTCGAATGTTTGTCCTAATTGAGTAAGGAGAACAAAAAACCATCACTTTTCCTCCTTGAGTGAGGCCATGTGTGGCTATCTTATGAAATAGAAAAATGGTATAAAATAAAATATAAATATGGAACTAAATGTTCACAATATGTTCTCTCTCTCACTAATATTTTGCTTCTTTACTTGCATTTCACTCTTTCATTCCTCTGTAAGCCCTGATATCTGCAAAGGGTTTTACAAATTGGAAACCCATTACTAGCACCAAAGGCCATTCAATTGAGAGAGTATTGATAAGATCTATACCCCAGCCAGGTGAAACTGCCATGTTCACTGTCTCTGAGTGTGTGGAACACAGATGTTCAGAGATAATTTTCGTGACCATAAACGGGCACTTAAATTTCAAATGATCTCTAAATATGTGTTAACAACATAACATATGTGTTAACAAGGAACTACTTTATGTTGCTGCTTTCTTCTCCAATTTGTTAATTGTTTGAAAAAACTGAAAATTCAAAAACTAAAAGTAATTTGAAAGTTTCTAAGATTAATCTTCCTTCAAGGGATTCAAAGAAAGAAAATATACACATATGGGAAGTGTAGGACACATTTTAATCAAATAGTTTGCTACGGATTTTCATATTAATTGAATTACAAAGTTAATATATTTCCAGGAAACCTAAATTGACCTATGAGAATGGTGATAAACCTTGAAGAATAATGCTGACGTTCATAAGATTGCCTTAGTGATGTGTGCAACGAGGAAAGAAAAAGGAACCATCAGTTTTAAGTAGTATTATCATCAGCCTCTGCAGCATCTATACATCTGTTTTTTTTTAATAAAAGTGTTTTTGTGATTTGTCTCAACAATAAATTTTAATAAAATTATCTTGTTTTATAAGCTAAGGTAAAATGTTCACTGTGAAGAATGTACACTGAAATGATAGTTAAGGAAGTGTTGATTGGAAAAATATTTCATACCACTCCTAAATACTAATTTGTCATACATGATTTCACAAGCATAGGGCTGTTCTTGATACAGATGTGATATAGTTCTGGAGCATGTAGTTGCATATATACTAAATACCCAGGGGATAATGTCACAATTTACTGCCTTGCTTTTCTTTTAGAGTTCATTTCAATGCTTAGGATGACACTGATTTGCTGCCTTGTGCCTGGCCTCTATCTATCTTCAGCTGCTGATCTATGCGTTAATAACACCCAGGGGAAATCTGGCCCACGTTGAATTTGTTTAGTCTTTATATTCTCACATCTATTGAAAATCATTATTGGCATTTTCAATTTGGTTATTAGGCAAAACCTTTCATGTCAACCAGCAAATTTAGGTAGAATATCTTAACGTAAATCATCTCTACAGCCATACTTATATAGCATGACCATGGCAAAACACATTTTTTTTGTAGACAACAAAGCACAGGCATTTACCATATTAATAGTCTCTATAATGGTTGTAGCATAAATCCTATTGTTTGTATTTAAATAAGAAATAAATATATTTTCAGAAGTCATGGTAGGACTGATTTTGTAGGATTCACGAGACATAGAAATATTATGGAGAGAAAATAGATATGTGAACCAAAACATGCAGTTCAAATTCTGAAGTCTTGAAACTATGTTTTATTATTATTATTATACTTTAAGTTTTGGGGTACATGTGCAGAATGTGTAGGTTTGTTACATAGTTATACACGTGCCATGGTGGTTTGCTGCACCCATCAACCCGTCATCTTCATTAGGTATTTCTCCTAATGTTATCCCTCCTTTAGTCCCCCATGACCTGACAGGCCCCAGTGTGTGATGTTCTCCTCCCTGTGTTCTCATTGTTCAACTCCCACTTATGAGTGAGAACATGCAGTGTTTGGTTTTCTGTTCCTGTGTTAGTTTTCTGAGAATGATGGTTTCCAGCTTCATCCATGTCCCTTCAAAAGACATGAACTCATCCTTTTTTATAGCTGCATAGCATTTCATGGTGTATATGAGCCACATTTTCTTTATCCAGTCTATCATTGACGGGCATTTGGGTTGGTTCCAAGTCTTTGCTATTGTGAACAGGTTACAGGAGTTAAGAAGAAATTACTTAGGCAGATAGTAAGGGTATGGAAGTCCTCAGTATGGCTTTTCTGAAAAGCAGATCCAAATCATTACCTAACAAAGAACAACCTGCAAAGTTGATCTGCAAATATAGACAAGCAAGCTGGGAGCTTGAACTGGTGAATGCTGGCAGGAACTAGGAATTACACATGTTCAAGATGGCAACTCCATCTTCCCCTTTCTGCCAGCAACATCTACAGTAAGAAGCAGACAAGATGGCACCCATCAACTGGAAAGTCCATTTGGATGATAAGATTGGGGGGGATGACAAGCCTTCCCTGAGCACTATGTAAAGGACATTCCTGATCAAGCCAATCTATAAGTCCTGTGTAAATCAGACACTGCCTCCTCAAACTGGATTATAAAATCCAGCGCATTTGCCACCAGCCAGTCCTTTCTGCTTGGAGACTCCTTTCTCTATAGAGAAAGGTATTTCTCTTTCTATTCTTTTCTGCCTATTAAACTTCCACTCTTAGACTCCTTGTGTGTGTCCGTATCCTAAATTTTCTTTGCACGTGACAATGAACCCCATAGTATAAACTGCAAATAGTGTGATATGGTTTGGTTGTGTCTCCACCCAAACCTCATTTTGAATTATAATCCCCATAATCACCACATGGCAGGGGCGGGACCGAGTGGAGGCAATTGGATCATAGGGGTGGTTTCCACCATGCAGTTCTTATGATAGTGAGTGATTCTCACGAGATCTGATGGTTTCATAAGCATCTGGCATTTCCCCTGCTTGCACTCACTGCTGCCCTGTGAAGAAGGTGCTGACATTTCCCCTGCTTGCTTCATCCTGGTGCCCTGTAAAGAAGGTGCCTGCTTCTTCTTTGTCTTCCCCATGATTGTAATTATCCTGAGAACTCCTCAGCCATGTGGAACTGTTATTCAATTAAACCTCTCTCCTTTATAAATTACCCAGTCTCCGGTATTTCTTCATAGCAGTGTGAAAATGGACTAATACAGACTATTGCATTGTTTTCCTTCTTTTCTCAAGGTACAACACATAATTTCGCATTTTCACTCTCAAGTAATCATTGTTCCTGTTTCATTAAAGTGACATCATTCAAAGAGAACTTTCTCAGATTCACAGGAACCCACCTATCTACCTACCGCAATCAATATTCATGCTTCTGCCTTCTAATCCATTTCTAAAGATGAAACTTATCTGATTCTATCTAAGGAAACACTCTTTTCTTGTGCACTTGATTCTCTTAACTATCTTTTTTTTTCTACTATTTCAAATGTATTTCTCCCCTGTATCTTTACATTAGTATACAAAATTATTATTATTGAATATCTAATGTAACTACAAATCTTGTTTGCTTTAGTTTTAAAATATACCCAGAATACAACTAATTCTTACCATCTCTACTGCTACCACTATATCCAAGTCACAATCAATTCTTGCCTTGAAATATTCTCTTGCCTCTTTGGATTTTTTACATGTTTGCCTTGGTTTTTTGCTTATTTATGACAGATCCAATGTCATGTTCCTTTTAGAATTTAAGTATATTTGGGTCATTCTTTGGCACAAAATCTTCCCTATCTGAAAACAATCCAAACTTCCCAAGATGGTCTTGAAGATTCTACTTTGTCTGGCCTCTGCCTGCTCTCTGGCTCACCTCATCTCACTCTGCTTCATTGCCCCTGATTCTTGTCCACACTGGCCTTCAAGCTGCTATTTACTTCAACGTGCCAGACACGTGCTATGCCTCAAAACATTTGCAAAGTTTCTTCCTTCCGTATGATATCCTTTAAAATATGCTTATGACTTACTTTCTCATCTGTTTCATGTCTTTTCTCAATTATCACCTTCTCAACAAGGCTTACCCTGACCACTCTATTAAAAATTTAGCTCCCCAAATCAGTAGCAATCTTCCTTTTCCTTCTCTATATTCTGTAATACTTATAACTTAATCATATAATTTACTTATTCATCTTGTTTGTGTTTCGTTTCCACTAAACTGGATAGAAGGTTCATACGGGCTAATTTTTTTGTTGATTTTATTCATATATGGTTAGAATCTATATTAGCTCTGTACTATTAGATTATTAGTAGTAACAATAAGTGTTTATTGAATAGTCAAATCAATAAAATCTGCCACCCATGTCAGACTCTTCTATGACACTTTAAAGACAAGACATTTTCAACTCCTTTGGGTTCTCTTTTTTTAAAATAACTTTACATTCAGTATCTTACGTTAACATCCATAATTCACTTCTTGGATTCTTGTGGTCGTCTCCTAATAAATTTCTAGTTCTCTAGTAATATCTCCTTTCAATCTGCTATTTTCTTGGCCACAGAGTGATATTTTGAAAACATAATTTCATTACATTTTTACTTTGCTTATAATCAATTATTACTGCTTTGTGATTATTGCCCACTGAATGCAATATAAGTCCCTTAGTACAGCAGATCAGGTTTTTGTACTTCTGTCCCTCCACCGCCATAGCTTCATCTCTTCCCAGGCTCGAATCTTCACACTGACAGCTGGCAGTAATTGCTGTAAGCTGCAATTATCTTCTGAACACTGAGCTGTACCATCTGTGATGACACACTGTTTGCCTTATAAATTATTGCATAACTAGTATCTGGAGTATAAGTGATCGATAAATATTTGTTGGAAAGTTAAAAATGAATATACTACTTCTCTGCATGTATCATATTTTCTTGCCTCCATGGTTTAGTATATTCTATTGCCTTTGCCTGAGATTCTGTCCCTGTGCTTTCTTTATCTGGATAGTGTCTTTTAAATTTCAGATCACTTGCCAATCTCTCTCCAAGTATTTTCTTATCCCAAATATGTTCACTATTTTTTATTTGTCTTTCCATGGCATCTGCTATGTCTTTCTAGGCACTGATACTAAAACCTCAATAATCCTCACCATAATATCTGTACTACTAATAATTTACTTACTTCTCTGTCTTCTTCACTGGGCTCTGAGGAACTGAGTTTCTTGAGTGCAGCAATTATGTCCCCTTTATCACAACATGGAACATAATGCTTAGTACATTACCTATTTAATGAGTCTAGGATGAGGTAAATAGTATTAAATTATATCATGTTTAAACAATAGTCATGAATAGTGTCAGTTCTGTCGTTGAATCCAACTCTCTCTGGACACAGAGGACCAGAGATAGTCTGCGACTTGCCCAAGTCATAAAGTAAGTCAGCAGCATAGGAGAAAATTGGTCCCAGATTATCTGAACCCAACGCCATTAGTGGCAAGGAGGATGCTTTTCTCTACAGCCTGCACAATGGGAAGGCAGCCACACAGCTCCTCCTTTAGGGAGCCCATGACACAAATGAAGGTCAAATAAGGATTGTTCCCAGTGGGAGCAAGGTAATGTTACATAGCCTCTTCTAGTCTCAACATAGCCATCCAATTTCCCCCAACGGATGGAAGTAAGGATTTTGTGTGTTTCTGTTTTGGAAAGTGTTGGTCTGTTTCTTTCTATGACAAGCAGTTGGGATCTAAGTTCAAGGAGCTGGATGGGATAATCTGTTTGACCTCACTAGAAAATGTGGCCAATCTACCTCATTTATCTGAATCTAGGAATATGCAGGAGACATAAAGATGATATTAAAAGTTAAGTTTTGGTGATTCAAGAGAACTCAGACTCTTAGAATGAAAGAATCAGGTCAGAATCCTATAGGGGAATGCTTAGTAATCCTACAGACATGGACAACACGTATTTGAAATTGGGGACTTAGAAAACCCTAACTCAACCTAAAGGTGATCCAAGGAAGCAGCCTAAAGAGCAAGTATGAGACGCACTCAGTCATATAGGAAATCTAGTGTAGTCATGAATAAAAATCAAAGATAGGGAGTGCTTTGGATGGAGTCCAGAAATAAATTTGTAGCTTTAAGAAAAAATTGACACTTTCAACTCATCACTTCATTAAATATTTATGTAACAGTATGTAAAACAATTATGTTAGTATTGAAAAAAAGTGATTAGTAGAACTTATTCCCTTAATTAATTTATAGTTTAGTTAGACTTGATTAAACAGTTGGTTTTTTAACAAATCATACAGGATAATACAATATGAACACTACATGATAGAAAGAAGGACACTGTGAGCTAAATGAACTGTTCTGAAAGAATTCTGGGTGCAGAAATTTAGGGCTTATAGAGTGAATACCAGGTGGTTCATTACAACAATCAAAGAGTATGAAAAAGGTCATAAACAGGTGAGATAAGTTTTGAAGTCATCTGGGTAAATCCATGTTAATTATTATGTTTGTCTTCACATTAACTGAATTCTTCCCATAAATTCAACGAAGGAAGAGGTCCAAATATTCTCTGTCTCAACATGGCACTGGTACAGGGGAAAGCTTCCTTGGTGTTTTGTATCTATTAATATTAGCGAAGGTGTTGTGAATGAATAGTGGCACCCTCCAACATATGTATCCACATCCTAATCCCCAGAACCTCGGAATACTAACTTATATGGTAAAAGAGTATACATTATCTTGTATGGAAAAATATGTGATTAAGTTAAGACTTTGAGAAGAATAGTTTAGCTTGGATTATCGATGGGGATATAAAAGTAGTTACTAGTGTCATTTTAAGAAGTAGGCAGTAGAAGAGGAATACATAAAGGAGGACACAGATATGCAACGGAAAAGGCGACATAAAAGAGAGTAGAGGCCGGGAGGGGTGGCTCACTCCTGTCATCCCAGCACTCTGGGAGGCCGAGGCGGGTGGATCATGAGGTCAGGAGTTCAAGACTAGCCAGGCCAACATGGTGAAACCCCGTCTCTAATAAAAATACAAAAATTGGCTGGGCGTGGTGGCGGTCCCCTGTAATCCCAGCTACTGGGGAGGCTGAGGCAGGAGAATCACTTGAACCTGGGAGGCAGGGGTTACAATGAGCCGAGATTGTGCCATTGCACTTCAGCCTGGGCGATAGAGCAAGAATCTGTAAAAAAAAAAAAAAAAAAAAAAAAAAGAGAGAGAGAGCAGAAAGAGATAAAGTCAAAGCCAAGGGATGCTGATAACCACAAAAAACAAAGAGACAAGGGAAAAAGCCAACTCCCTTGGAGCCTCCAGAGCGACTTTAGCTTCCATGCTTGTACTCTGATTTCAGACTACTGACTTCTAGAACTGTGAGAAAATAAATTGCTGTTGTTTTCAGCCACTGAATTTGTGCCAACTTCTTACAGCAGCCTTAAAAAACTAATATATAAAGAAAATGGTAATTTTTCTCTCTTAAATATGTCATCTTGCTAAATGTTGTATGAATATTTCTTGGCAAAGCATTAATATTCATCAGGATCTCCACTGGGCAAGAATATTACATAAAATTTGAAAGAGAAATGAAAAGAACTACTATGATTGCAAAGGATAATAGTCGATGATTTTATAATTTAGACATCATCAATCATTTGAAATCATTGAAAATGTCTACCAACTTCTTGGTCATTGATTTTTTCTTACAAATTTTTGTTTCTGTGTAGCCACTTTATAGAATTAGGGTGAAACCCTACCCAAAATGAAGTTTGGATGTCAAGAATGATGACACCAGACACACACCAAAAGCGTATGAAAAGGGTTTATTCCTTACCTAATAGGGCTTTCCAGGGAGAACATGGCAGGCCTTCCAAGCAGGTCCAAAGGTGGCTTGAGAGAGCTAAATAAGGTTACTAGCTTCAGGGTTTTTATGATGGTTAAGGGGTGGGTCCATGGTGAGGATTTCCATGTGTGGCAGGAGCTTGTGTTGTTTGAACTTCTTGCCGTCACCAAAATAGGAAGCATCAGGCATTCTTGTCAGATTTCCCACATGTTGGACAGGCAGAAGGGGAAGAGGGAAGGCCGAGGCTCAAAATTTGCCAGCAGCAAAGCATCAAAAATAGGTCAGACTATTACATAAAATAGTCTGTCTCCATAAAATTAGTTATTAAATATAGTAAAGGTAGATCGATAAAATTTCTCTATTCCTTCATCTATTGTAGCTGCTTCCCCTGCTCCCACCCCAGTTCTTCCTCCTTCGTACATTTCTTCTATTTTCCTGTGGCTATGAACTAAGTCATCCGCAGCAACCACCAGCATTCTAATTGAGTAATTGAGGCTGAAGGAGATCTTGACTTTGCTTATAAATGACTAGCACTGCCCCATCAGAATCAGGGGATCTTTGGTTTTCTCATGTTTACACATTAATGTTTTACACTTATACTCATGCACTTAACAAAAACACAAGTAATTTGGTAATCTGTAATTATCTGGCAGACTAAAGCTTTCTGTTCTATCTTGAAAGTAAGTATTGCAAGGAGGCATAAATAGGTACCTGATCAAGTGAGAGGTCTCTAGGGTGCAGGATTCCAATTTTATATAATGATGCTCAGTCACTATCTGATGCCACTTTATGTTTTAGCAGCCTCAAAAGATACCCTAGCCACTTTGCTATCTTCCCTAATAGCCCTCCTATCAGACAGATGATTGTATCACTAGCAAAGTAGGAATGAAGGAAATGATTCTGTAGTCCTCGAAGATTCTGAAATTGTCCAGTATAGAATAAACTAGGCAGTAAGGCTATATTGCTCACTATAATGATGCTAAAAGTAAGAGCTTCTAGTACAACTTTGTCAGGAGAAACAAGTTAAATAGATTGTTTATGGAGTAGTTTCTGTGATTACATGAAGTGCATATCAAAATGGGTTTATGCATTGCATTTTATATCACCATTCTTGTTCCTGTAAAAACATTTTATTAACCTAAAAGCAAAAAACTGACATTTTAATGTCCAACTTCAGAGTTAAAATGACATTTATAATAATACCCAGTAAATCTATACAACTCTTCAGTACACTAACATAATTAAATTAAAGGTAACAGCAACAATGCAATACTGAAAGCCTGCATGTTTCATCCAGTTAGAGGCAAGAACACTTTCTAATTTTAGGAATGGAACCAAAGATAGTAAACATATGCATTTAAGTAAATATAGGTTATTTTCTTTTAAAACATTTGCTTTTATATTTTAAATAAGTGCTTTTAAATTTTACTATTTGGGGAAAAAAAGGGACAGCCATCGATAACACAATTTTTTGTTTTGCATTTTTTCTTTTAGTAATTGTTAACCTGCCCTTTTTGACATATGTAAAACCTCAATATGTTAAATAAAAAAACTTCCATTGTGTTTTCTTTTCATCTTATTTACATATGCGTATGTAAATACATATATAGTTATTTCATTTTATAGAATTCATATTCTCATTTTCCTGATTCTTAAAGTTTATTTTATGGAAACTTTTTCCTCCACAGAAGGAAAATTAGAGAAGATTAAAAACAAGAATCTACAGTGAATATTCAGAAAGCTATATGATTACATGTAACTGAGAGAAACATCACAGAAATTTGATAAATAAGATTGAAGATATTGGCCAATGAATGCATAGGTATTAAAAGTTATACATAAGTATTATCATTCAAAGAAGGTGCAGGCATTTAGAAGATCACATTTAGATATAATTCGGTATAGTCTGTGGTATAGACACAGTAGCCTCACTCTCTTACTTCTTACTGATAATATCTTAAGTGATAATGTAAATTAAGTACTGGACTGTTTGATTATATTTTGTGTCAGCACAGATATATTATGTAATACGGAAAAACATTTACATCAAACATTCTATACTTGCACAGTTTTTGAGTTTTAGAGCTAGAAACAAATTAGCAATCCATATTTATTAAGAGGCTAATGCACAAAAAGATGTAGTCACTTGATCAATGTCACAGATTTATTAGGTGGCACAGCTAGGACTTGAAATCTTGTGTTTTGACTTCATTGTTCTTTCAGAGACTGAGCGCTATTTATTTAGACATGTTTAAATTCTGTGATGTTATATTGCATTCACCAAGAAAATTAATCAAGGCCAAAATATTGTTTACAAAGAAGTAAACATTTTCAGAAGATGACTGAAATACATTTGAAGATAGAATGCCTCATTGGTGGTTAATATGCAATATGGATGATTACATACAGAACTTAGTTCAATGTGCTCAATATTATTCAAATTATTTAATTTGATTTTTTCAACATACGTGCTACATGTCCACTTTCTTCCTGATCTTGTATAAATCAAGCAGAAATGTGGATTAGAAACTGGATAATAAATAAAGAAGGAAGGAAGTTTAAAAAGGGATGTAGGGAAGGAAGGCAGAATGGAAGGGAGGGAGGGAGGAAGGAAGAAAGGAAGAAAGGAAGGAAGGAGGGAAGGGAGGGTGGGAGGGAAGGAAAGAAGAAAGGGAAGAAGGGAAGGAAGGAGAAAGAGAGGAAGGAAGAGAGAAGTTGTGTATCTGTAAATGTTTAACAATCATTTCTACAGGTGGGAAAACCTGGTTTCTAGTGTTTTCCATTTTAATTGGTGTAAATGCTCCCATCCATAGCTGATTTTTAGTTACAAAAATTACATTACTGAGCAGTTTGGAAAAGATGTTCACAATTGGTTCTTGTAAGAAGCTGTGTGAAGTCTTCAGTATAGGGTTAAAAAAGGCAAGAATAAAGGAAGTAACGGAAAGAGGGAGGAAAGAAGAAAAGTGAGGGAAGAATAGAAGAAACCAAGTTTTACTGACATTAATTCATCTGTTAATGATTCTCCTTTCTTAGCCAAAGTTTCAATTACTTCTTACCAGGACTAGTATACTTAGTCATCTCTCAAGTGGCCTTTGGTAGTCTCCTCTTTCCCTATGGCTGCTAGATTAATTTTCTTAAGGAAAAACTCAACTCTAGCTTTTATTAACCTTGTGGTCACAGAATCCTTCAAAAATATGTGGAAATCCTGAGCCCTGTCTCCAGAAAAACATTCACATGCATGCAGGTGCACTTATAAACTTTTAAACAAAAATCAGGACAGTTCACAAAAGCTCATAACTCACAGATTAAGAGACTTCTGTTTTACTCCTTTGATAAAAATTTGTAATGGCTCAAACATCTACTAATGTTTATGACAATTTCGTGTATAAGCCACGTTTTCAACTACTCTAAGTCAAAATCACTTATTTCCGCATTCAACATCCTCTACCTTTAAGCCTAACATTTTTCTGCCAGTCCTATCTGCAATTGCATAAGCTTCTATAATAATTAAAAAGTAAGATTCAAAAAGAATGTTCCTCTGTCTCATTGTAGCCTTACTATCTTTAATCTGAAAGTTTCTCAGTGTTTAGAGTGCCTGACACATGGCAGTTGCCCAGTACATATTTGTTGTATAACAAGATAAGTAAATATGTTGATAAATAATAAAGCTATATCAGGGACTTCTTTAAACTTTGTACTGAATTTTCAAATCTATTTCAAATTCATTTTGGGTTAGAGCATGAGTGTAAACTCTGCAATCTTTCAGCTACATTACCGGAACAATTTACTTTACTTCTTTTGACTTCTGTTTTCTCATCTATAAACTGAAGATAATTTTCCAGTGGATTATTTTAATAATTAAACAAAACAAAAATGAAAAGACACCTTTCAAATTGTAAATGTATAACTTACAGTTGATCATGTCTGTGTTCTTTACTATTACCGGCCCACATCCGGAACATGTTTTTGCCGTGGCTTTGGTTTGGCTTTGGTGCCCATACTTAAAAAATTACATTGTGCCAACTTTTAAGAATTGGAATATTTTCAATAAAAATTTCCATTTTATTTTTTTTTTTAAAGCATAATGTTTGGAAATATTTTAGGCAGGAAGCCAAGAAGTATATTCTCTGCTTCACTGTAATCCTCATCATTCATTATGTTTTAACTGGCAAACTTCAGTCGCATTTGCTTTCGGGAGTTTGAAAAGTCCCATGAAAACTCAGGGCTTCTCTTGGCTAGGGGAAGGAGTTCCCCTAGCCCCACCCTCCTTCGGCTTGCCCTCCGTGGGTTGCACCCCTTGTCTAACCAGTCTCAATGAGATGAAGTGGGTAGCTCAGTTGGAAATGCAGAAATCACCCACCTTCTGCGTTGATCTCCTGGGAGGTGCAGACCCGAGCTGTTCCTATTCGGCCATCTTGCCAGCCACCCAGCTTTGTCTCTCTTGATCTCTTAACTGAGCTTTCAAAACGTGGTTTAATTCACTCATTTGCACACGACTGGGCCCCTGTAGATTTATGACTTTGCCATCTCTCTTTTCTGTAGTAATTTCCCCATGGTAAGTGCTCAATATGAACATGGTGTGATTTGAAGGGCCTCAGGGAGACTTTGTCCCTGCCATAAAATCCTGCACAAACTGGGAATTCTGCTAACTCATAGTTTCATTTTTTTAATTAAATGTTTGGATCTTCATTAAATTTTGAATATCATTGGAAAAAATAGTGATTAGTTTTCAATACTTTGTATAGTGACTCTAACGATAAGTATCAATGTCGAGTTTTGCATTCATTGTGGCATTTGATACACAAAATTATTCTGTGTAATACCTAGAACATTGTTATCGCTTAATTTTACTTTTTGAATTGGCTGACTTCTGTCACATTTAGATCCAGGAGATCAAACAATATCATTAAAACATGATCTCTTTTCAAGACTCAGTTCAGCTTTTCTCTGTGTGGGTACCATTCTCAGGCAGACACTCTTCCTGCAGGGCCCCAGGAAGAAAAGACTTGCAATTTTTTTAGATTTCGACCTTAAATGGGAAGATCATATCATTTTCCTAATACCTCGTGGAATTACCATGAGGATTAAAAAATTGAATGCATGGAAAATAGGTCAGATCCTGGCATATAATAAATATGTATTTGTTATTATTTTCACTCTTGCAAAAATTCTGGGCTTCACTTGTACTTGTATGTCTGGGACCCTATGTCTATGTCCCTGTATCAATCCAGCATCCCAAGACCTTGTGGAAGAGGAGCAAGGTAGGATTGGAAGTCAGGGTTACGTTACTTAAAGGCAGGAAAAAAGAAAATTATTCAGGGGAAAATATGCATAGCCTCCAATATGGAGAGGAAGATAATTCTATCATTTGTGTAATCCTAAATCAGGTCCCAAATATAAAAGAAATTTATTCCTTATGTGAAATATTGACATAAATAGTAATGTGTAGTGATATCTATTTACAATACTAGTTTTTCCAGCAACATAGCACTTCCTTTTCTGCTATTTCACTTTAAGAAGACTATCATTACATTTGTAAGTAATGAGATTTTGGGAAATTCCATTATCTTTTGGCAGCCAAAGTGTGATACGTATTTCTTTACCATCTTAAATATAGAGGAAATTAATGGCTGGATCCTGACCTTTTGTGTTTATGTGGAGATAAGCAACGTCCTTTACACACATGGATTAGTACTTTAGGAGTATACATAGTGGTAACAAGAATCAGAACACATACTTTATAGGTCTGTCTAGGTGCACAGTTATGTTATGATTCAATAATGATTTATGAAACAGAAGCAAAAACTTCCTTAATAGTGGAACCATATCCTTCATAAACATAAAATATGTCTTATTCTTCTCCAGATACTAGAAAAAGTTATATTATATCCATAAAAAAGTAATTGATGGTAGTATGGACAGATTGATTCTGAATCCAACATTAGGATGGCCAGGAAAAAAAACATAAAAGAAACTTGGATGCGTTTGGATCTTGGTTTAAATTGTTAAGTGGCTTTCTGTGTGTCATGATGGGAAATGATTGGCTTTTAATCGTTATTCAGTAATATCTACAGAATTGTACTTAAATATGTTTTAACATTTTAACTCTTATCTTGATATGTCACTTTTTTATTGTTTAAGGCTGCTACCAAATTTAAGCTTATCTATTTCCATTATATTAAAATAAAAATATGTGCTAAGTATACACAGTAAGAATGTGTTTGATGAACTAAGAACCTAGTCCATACACTTGGCTGGTTGATGTTAAGACATAAGTTGTAAAAACAAATATCCCTCTTAAAAATATCTAAATGATTTCTTATAATAGACACTAATTCCTATTTCAAGGCACCTTAGGAAAACAAATGGCTTATTACTTTATCCTTTCTTGTAAGCATGAATTGTGCTGAGGCTTCACTTGCTTATTAGGGAGATGCATTCGGTCACAGATTTTCTTTGATTAAGAGTTATTTTAAATACCATTTCCTTTTTACTTTGCTCTGAAATATTTTTAAGTGTGTAGCTTATGATTCTTAACATACTTTAATCATCTTCAAAGCAAGTCAAAAGTATGTTTTAAATCGTTGAAATGAAATTTTCACCATCAGCTTCCACCAAGTCCAACATAGGGATGCTCAGTATAAACATTTTTAATAATAATTTGTAAAGTCCTTACATCTGTTGGTTTTAGGTTGAATAACAGATTTCATGCCTATAGTTCTCTATAGATTATAAGACACTTTTGTATGTGTATTTCCTCTAGCACTTCTGCCACTTCCGTGAAATTAGGTATGTATTTGAGGAGATACCTCCTGTTCCACATTAGATTGCCGCTGGCCAAGCCCTCATCCAGTAGATTCTTGTGTCTATCTACCCCACTGCAGAAGCACAGTTGATAAGGTGGGACTCAACTGCTGATTAATACACCTATAGGATACGCCATTATTTCAGTTATATAGCTTAATTTTTAGTGTTTAATAGTAAAAATGTACAAATCTTCCCTATTTAGAACTGTGTAAAGGCAGTAAAACTTATGTCAAATTTATTCATGAGAGAACATAGTTTTTCAAAACTCCCTCAAATGTCCATTAAACATAAATTCATGTGACTATAATCTTCATATAATTCTATCAATGGCTTACTGCTGTTTATGAGTAAATTATCATCTTCACATACTTCTTGTAAATATTTTCAACAATTTTGATGATTTCGTTCCACTAGGATACTTAAACCTAAGAAAATATGTGCCCGTTTTGTCTATGACACAAAGAAGAAAGAGCTTGCTCATATTTGGAAACATAAACATTACCAGATTTCTCTTTTTCCTTTCATTAATAAGATAAAACATATAGTTATAGATGAACAGCAATAATATATGAGTCATATCTGAGCTTCAATATTAAAATTATCAAATAGAAAAATAAAAAGAAACTTGCAAACTAAACTCATCTGCCATTAATAAACCCCATCTGCCATTTTATGGCACATACACAAACTGCTGTAGGAAGATGCCAAGACAATTTAAAATTTCCTTCTACAAGGGCCTGAGCCAGAGCTAATTTCATTCAAAGGATAAATGAGCAAAGTATTCCTTTGCCAACTGACAAAATGTAATGATTCATGATTAATGGATCCTTGTTCTTTTCTTCTAAGACCTCTCCTTTAGGCATGGCAATACTGTAATCAGTGCAGGAGGAGAACCTGAAACTCTAAATGTGAGGGCAACAAATCTGATCTATATTTTATGGTTAAGATTGGCTCATTATTAGCCAAGAGAATGATTGATGATAGGAAATTCTGTCTTTGAACCTTATAGGGCATATGCTAAAAATATTTTAAAACATTTGTCCTAGATGAGACAATATTAAGTTTTCCTAGGAAACAAGCTTCTGTTGTTAAAATGTTTTTGCTCTGATGATCAAATCTAATTACTTAAAATGCCATTAAGTTCTGTTGACTCAATTACTTATGACTTGCTTTCTAATTATAAAATTGGAATAATTTTTTATTAGAATTAGCAGTCTCTTTAGTCTTTTTAAGCTGTAGAGTATCATAGTAGCTTTACATATTGTTAAATGACTATGCAAACAAACAAACAAATGCTCATGCTGGAAAACAAGAAAGTGTTCTATTTTTATTCCTAATAATGAAGATAAGAAAAATATAATTGAGAAAAAATTAATCAGCATCCATTTCTTCACCATCCTCAATGATATTGGTGCCCACAGTGTGGAGCCTATTTTCCGGTACTGTATCAGAACAACTAGATAATTCTCATTGTTAATCTGTTTGGGTTTCTCTTTTGACTCTGGGCATCCATTTACTGAAATAATAAACTACTGTCAGCTTTTAGCTAACATAATTTATAATTATGTTGCTGGTAAGTAGTGGAGAGATTTTGTAAACCTGAGATCAATAAAAATGTGAAAATATGTTGATCTCATTTGAAAGGATGATTAGTTGGTTGAATAAGAGTCATTAATAAGCAGTGTATGCAAACTGACTAAAGGCCAATAAAATGGCTACATTTTAAAATATCTTATGAAACAAAATCATAATGCACAAACTTTATTGTTCAATAAAACTCTTGCCTTGATAAATTTTCTTGTTTATAAAATTTTACATGGATGTATATTTGCCTATTACACACTTATATGTTATCACCTTTAAAAGTCAAATAAAACCAATACGTATTTTATATTAAGATGAAACATATGAAAATAATTCCAAATGTTTTCACTACAAAAATGACAATTTTATTTATTTACATTTTAAAAGGACCAATAAGAGTTTTACTTGTCTCTTCAGTTTCTGTTAAAGTAGATTTAGGTTATCTAATGTATGTAAAGTGCTTGTAATAGTAACTGGCCCAAACTACACATTCCATATGTTAGTCCTTATATCATTATCATCATCATAAAAGGGTTACCAGGAACATGTGGCAGGATTTTCAATATAAACACCAATGGAATTGATGAAAAACTTCATCAGATATTCAGTGGCAATAAAGAAATGGCTATCCACACCTAATAGATGATTTAGATAGAAATGCTAGGATGAAGGCTCAATTCTCCTCAGTAATATAGGGTAGAAATATTTACTTTTGACATTATTGTTTGAATAAATTTAGATCAAAAATATAATTTATCAATGACATTTATTATATGTTCCTTTTTCTCAGGACACAGATATTTCTCATGTTTTTATTTATGATAAGTAACATGCCAACTTAATTTGGAATATCTTGGAGGTTGAAGGCAATCTCACCAGAAAAATAATAGAATATGTTCACATTAAGATTCCTATTGGGTGACTCTTTTTAAAGATTTTGCATTGGGTTGCTAACATTAATAATTATCACTACACTGATGTTACGACATATATCAGCAAAGCCTTCATTAAAATTTGTAAGGTAAGATAGACAATACTGAAAAGTTAACCTTTAAGCCAATTCCGATACAATTAATTCTTTTGTGACTGAGTAGTTAGTGTGTTCTAATTTGAGACAGGAAGTGGATAGACTCTCAATACTTTTTACAGCATGGTAGCACAAGTCAAAAAAACTAAGGAACAATAAATCATATTAAACCCTAGTGTTTCCTAAAAGATTTTGTTTTTGCTTTTGTTTATTCTTAAAATCTAAAATGGGAAGTTATTATTTTGCAATTAAGCAGTGTGTTTAGCGTGCTGCATGGAGCAATTTATATGAGTATAGAGAACTCTTTGTGCCTGTGTAGGTGTCTGAATAAAACAATAAAAAGCATTTCCTTTCCCTTCTCCTTTCTATTCCCTCACTGACTGCCTCCACTCCCAATCCCTAACTCACATGGAAACAGTTAAATCTTGAATTAGCCATTTGACTTTCTTCTACTTTACCCAACACATTGAATATATAAAATGTTATAAAATGCTTTGATTTTGGATTAAACACATTTTAATTATTTTATTTTACATTCTTCACATTTTCAACTACTTACCTAAGTTTTAATGACCATGATGGAAGTGAATGTGTTTAGTGTAAATATGAGAGAAAAAGGAAAGAAGAGCTAACTGTGTGCGCATTACATTTTAAATATCAAGGTTCTCAAGACCTATAATTCTATTTAGTTCATGATGCAAATGAGTTAAATCAGCCCTTCAGTACTGAGTGTATTTGTTGAATGAGGATCTATTAACATGCCTTATATATCACAGTGATTCACAAAATTTCAGAGAGTTAATTGTGTTTTTTCCAACTACAAGTAGAATAAACATTGACTGTGTTGTCTGGTAAACAAATTTTTTTTCCTTTCTGGGTGGGCTGTGGTATTTTGTTTTTCCACATTTTTGTGTATTTTTTTCCATAGTAAATGTAAATTAAATATGTTGGTATAATGTTATTGATTCAATTGACTATCACCTCATCTTTTTCATTGTTTTGTGTATTTTTACCTGTAAAAATATTTCCCTAATTTCTTCACAGGAGTAGCTAAAGGCAAACAACCAACCTGCTACCATTCATATCCATGATATTTCTTTTGAAGATGCCATGTTCTTTGGCTGGAGAGAGAGTTGGATAGCTAATTTGTATAGAGACACATTAAACTGTGAGAGATGAGAAAATCATCTAATACATAGTTCTGCAATTTCATGCTAACAAACTAATGGCAAAGTAAGTATTCCTCTTAAATGAAAACCATTTCCCCCCTCGAGAAAATGCTTCTAAAATATCTTCTTAAATACAGCCTCTGCAGGGGCACTTCTTTCCCACAGACATCAAAAATATACAAAACTTTCCCTTACAAGAGACTCTGGATTGGGTTTAATGCATTCTGAACAAGAAAGTTGGAGATTAAGAAGAAAAGAATTGCTGCAAAGAGGATGGGGGTGTCTACCCGTTTAGCAAAACCCACAAGGCCCTGACACCCATCTTCTTGCTTTTTTCAAACCATATTCTTTTTTCTCTGTGATTTCCATCAGAAATCCCTCCTCTCCTGTGAGAATGTCTTCTTTGTTCACATGCGTGGTTGATCACATAACTGAGATTTAGGCTGAAGCCAAGTGACAGTGCAACCAAATACGGATTTTCTGTCTTCCATTTTCCACCCCCTGTTGCCAGGTCTTTGATATTTGCAATCTTGGTCAGAGAAATTACTTGTTTTGGAACCTTTAGTTTTAGTTATTCTTCACTCTATCAGACAAAAAGTAAAATATTAAGCTTGATGAGGAGATAAGTAATTGTAGATATAAAATAAAACCACAATATTTGAAGAAAAATAAAATTTGTATTAAGCCTTATGGAGATTTTGTTACATCTTAATTCTTCAGCAGCTGCTAAGTCCTCATTTATTCTAAGTATATCATATGGCAGGATACTTATGCTAACTCTGAAATATATAAGCTAAGCCTCTTTGAAGAACTAACAGTACTCAAAGAGCACGCTGATTATCATAATTTAATAACCAATATGTTAATCATTATTAATGCACACAGGATTTTTGTTTGTTTATTTCAACAAGACACATCCACCAAAAACACTCAGGTGAATCTAGAATGTGTAAAAAATGTATTCTGTGCAGTCCTGGAGTGAGGAATTGACATTTTTACTTTTAAAACTAAGCTTGGACTGAAAGACCAGACATTCAACAGGCAGGTCAGCCAGGAATGGTACAAATAGTGCTGAAAATTTGTTTTTCTTCCCTCGTTTATTCATTCATCCAAAGATATATGGAGAGTGCCCACTGAATGCAGGCATTGTCTTAAGATGCTTGGTAAGTTGCCTCGTTCTTCATCCATTGTAAGTACTGCCTTAGACATTCTGTCATATGATGCTAATAACACTTCCTAGTAGTCAGGGCAGATGGTCCTAATCACCATGTACTTTTTCAATGCAGTTTAAGAAAGATGCATGACTATATGAAGCTCAGAAAGATGACACAGATTGAGGCTAAAAACTAGATCTTGTTCTAAGTATACCCAGTGTCGTTTTTATTTACTTGATAACCTTAATCATTATAAATTTGGATGCTCTGATTATTTGTGTCAATGCTCCCCAAAATTATTTTGTGTAAAAAAAATAGAAAGCCCTGAGGATTTGTTAAACAGCAGACACATCGATAAATGATCAAAACATATTGAAGTAGCCTGCCTTTCCAAATCTTGGTTGATATTAATAGTGATTTCCATAAAATTGCAATTTGTGCTCCTTTCTACCCCCAAAATATAAGCTCCTGGATATCAGGGCTATCTGTGTACTGTTCAGTGAGGTATCCCGATTTCCCAGAACAACATCTGGCACATAGAAAGCACTCAATAAATATTTGTTGAATAAAACTAATTTGTGAGCTTTGGGGTATGTGGCGGGTAACATGAGCTGTTAGCAGTTTTATTCTCTTAAGGGAGCAAAAATAACATGGACCACTAATTCTTTTCTCTACACGAATTAAGGTTGGCAGTAAAAAATACCATCATAACAAAAATACCTTATAATGCCAATTTAACAAAATCAAACTGGCTCATTGTTGACTATCTCCTTTAATAACAGAACAGAGAGAAGAGGCACAATTCATACACTAAGACAATTCCAAAACATTATTTTACACTATGCTATTAAAGTCCTCCTAGTCAATTTTTTACTATTTACACAAATAACTTGAAACTGGCTGTAGTTCATGTCTTTATACAATCCATAACACATTCTTTAGGGAAACTGATTAAGATAGAAAAATAATTACAGGCCAAGTCAGAAGGAAAGAATCAAAGAAATTTATAAAAATCAACAGCGTTATTGGCTCTTAAATAAGTTTTACACTAAACCCTAGAAAAGGAGGTTGTGGAGATCAGTCAGTTTAATTTACCTTGGCATTATTTGTGTGAGTGTGTGTGTGTGTGTGTGTGTGTGTGTGTGCACGCACAAGCTTTTGTCTGTAGACATTCCTTATACATTCGACCTATTTTTTTGGAATATTCTCTATGCTTTAAGATGTCAGAGGGGGATATTTTTGCTTAATTTGCTTGCTACAGAAAGTACATTCTATTTGGTAAACAAAAAGTGAAAACTCAAAACAAATGTAAGTAGGAGACAGCTTAGCTTAAAAATCTAAAAATAAACTACAAGTCTATCACTTACTTTAACTTCATTTCCCACTATCTCTTTTTGTCGCTAGTGTTTTCTTTCACATAATATTTGTCATGACAACATAGGGTATGTTCTTCCTGACCACCTGGGCCCAACTCCCAGGTCCATGTAAAATACAAAGGCTTAGACATGCCAATGCGTTGTGCTTAGAAACTTAGCTAACTCTTCAAACAAAAGGTATATCAATTTGTAATCAGGTTTCAATATTTCTCCTTGTTGGAAATATAAAAGAGAAACATATTTTATTCCTATGTTGCGTGTGTTTAAATGAATCCATTTCACCTATGAATAACTCTTGATAACATGTTTCATAAGAATTAATGATCTTCTAGTATCTTTTTCCATATGGTATTGATGTAATATCTTTAGTAATCTGTTAATTAAATTTTAAAAGCAGACACAAAAATATAAAAAGTGAAAATATTTTTTCCCTTGGAACTTAACTTTTCAAGTAATTCTTTGTGAATGTACAAATAAGTAATATATTTAATCAATTTCCACAGCATTAATATATATGATGTTCTGTTTTTCATGTTATGTGTTTTGTGTATTTGTGTTTGCTAATGTTTTTCTTTGCTTTTGGTAATATATGGCTATAATAGTCCCTATTTCATGCAGGCATTCCTCATTTTTGATATCCACATGTTTGAATGTGTTTATACGAGACAGTGATTTTAAGAATGTACACTGGCATTTTATTGTCATGACTTTATGGAAAATGGACATTTAATATATTTTTAAAGAATATCTGAAGTTCAAAACTCTAATAGAGAAACTGTGTCTGAAGAAAATTATTCAACGAATATAGCATTTATATAAACACTCTATTACAAATTCATACTTTTGGAATTAAATAATTGATCTATGCCTTTAAATATGAGGAGAAATCAGAAAAAAATTTTCTAGGGGCTGAAAGGATGTGATATTTGTGAAAGAGTTTTAAGTAGATACACTGTACTTACCCTTTTCACATTTGAAAAAGTACTTCAGAAAATTTTAGCGTTGATTTTTATTAAAGTGGAAAAAATATACAGTACTTAGAAATGTATACTCACACTTTAAATCTTAAGTCCAATATTGGAATTTCGATTTCTTTTCTTCCGATTTCTTTTCTTCCTTCCATTTCTTTCCTTTCTTCCTCTCTCCCTCCATCTCTTTCTATGTCCATCCCTCCATCTATCCACAGACATTTACTGAACTTGATAGTCTTCTAAAAGCTAACTAAAAGAGGAAAATAAGCTTACTGCTGTAATAGGGCTTAACAACGTTTAGCCTCTTTCTGTTATTTATAGGCAATAATGGATACCTGATATGGTTCTTTTTATGATAAAATAAGTGTGATATTTGAAAAGATTTGGCTAAATACCTGTCATCTGGAATAAGACCTGAAGGAATAGTATTTTCTTTCTAGTAAACTCATTTTCAGTGTTCCAGATGGCCTATAATGGCAACCCCTAACAACCTCTATTCCTTCTTCACTTTCAAAATCAGGAAACTGGATAGATCCTTGACCACTCTCTGGTCTAGACCCTTGAGCCAGTTGAAACAAGGTTCTTTATAATTCTCAGTCCTTAGATCTACTGAGCATGGCTGACTTACTATATGAATGAAATATGGTTGGATCCCCCTTCCTGTTCAGTTCTCAGGCTCCACAATGCTCAGCAGGCAGTAGTCAATTTAGTAAGGTCTTATCCATCACAACTGAAAAGATACCAGGCATTGACTTGATGAATGGAAGATAAATCATGAGAGGGTTATCCATTCAGGCAAAGCTGAATGACACTGACAGAACCCTGCGTGAAAGCTCATTTTGTGTTTGCCTGTACAATATCTCATTTGTCGTGCGCTTCTCTTGCCAATGATATCGGTGGCCTCCCCTCTATGAAGCCTTCTCTCTTTATTCCCTTCAACAAGTCACCCAGTTGGTAAAATGAAAGAAACACCAAGGAGACAAGATGCTATTATGATCTGAAAATTCAAGTTCAGAAATGTATTTTGTCTTTGTTCTTTGATACAACAAAAACTAAATGCACAATTTTTGTTGTTATGTGGGAACAGAGGAGACAGACCCAGTAGGTGGGACTTAAAATGTTAATTGGGCCACAGGGCATTACTCCATAGTCAGCCTTCAAATTCTCACTAAAGTACATTTGATCACCATGCTATGCTATTTTAAATATAAGCAATAAATTGTCTTATTTTTCAGAGCTCTCAGAAATCTGAGACTAATTTTAGAAAGTTAAACATCCTAAGGATTTTTAAGTGGTATTATAATTTTCATGTAAAAATGTTAAAATGAAATGAGCAGTTATTTTGTGTTTTTCCCTTACATTTTTATAGCAAACTGTTAAATAAGGAAAATTAGTGGACTCTTTCATAATGTGTGAAGGCCTATTAAAAATCAAGTTAGCTTTATATAGAATCACATAACTTGATAATGAAATATTTTTACATCATGATATAGAAATTGGTAGAAACAAAAGATAACTCAGGTATTGAAGCTAAACAAGCTGTAAGTCTGTTAGTTTGCATTTCTAATAATATTCAAAAGTCTCAAAATGATTTAAAATATCCTATTATTAGTGACTCCCCCTGTACTTGCTGATGCTGTATATATAGATAGAAAAATTGAGTCATACTGTAAGGTTTTATCCATTTTTCTCTAAGATAATGGTAAACTGACACCAGTAATATACTCTAAAATTTCAAAGAATAGGAGGAACTATATAATCCATTGTACTATTTTTATTTTAGTCATTGTGTACAGTACACAAAACACTACAAAATACATAAGAAATATACCATTCTTGTAAACATAGATGGTACCAAGTTTTGAGATTATCTATAAAATTTGTGTTATATTCATTAGAAATTATTTAAAAGAAAAAAGTAAAATAACCGAACTGACAAAACTGACACTCCATTCTTTAGACCTCATTTGTATCTTTAAAACAAGATACTCAGCTGCTGTAAAGTACATTTACTATCTTTATAGTTATATTAAGGGAAATTTAATATATATTCCAGTTTGTAAAACATAACAAAAACAATAAGAGATATTTAAAAGATCACTCTTCTCTGAATTTGGGAAAGAAGAAAAAGAGTTTTAAAAAAATCCTACAGCCTCATTCTAAATATATCAACAGTTACATAATCAATGCACAAAAGATTATTAAAAGCCATTTTAAAATATCACCGTTATGAGAATTTCGAGGATCTTTATTCATATGATACATTCTGAATAAAGGAACTGAAAAATGGCAGCCTTTCAGTAGAATTGAATAATAAGAAATCAATAATTATATAAAAGTTTCACTTAAAAAAATCTTTCTATTCCGAGATGTCTACAGTACTTTTTCTATAAAACATTTGATGTGAATATAAATCATAGCTTGCTACTTCCTATAATGTTATAAATTTTAGATTTTATAAATTTCATTATATATTATGTTGATCTCATATATTATTGTAAGAAATATCATACCCTATGATCTATCAAATAGTAGTATTTTTATGAAAAAAAGAAAACTCATTTTTAAAGGCATATCTTAAATGCTATCTTATAGTACAATCTTTATCTGCATTTTATTGCTAGTGCAGACATAATTAAAATTGATGAATAGTTTCCATTTCTTGATTTTTATAATATTAACCTGGAAATAAATCCCTCAATGTGATAAATTGTATCCATAGTTAAAAATGACCAGTATATGTAAAGATTTACTATTAATTTTTGTCACTCAAGGCACAACTATATTTAGCTTTTTTTAAAAAAAGGAAAAATAATCTTGATAATCTAACTCTTTTGACATTATGAATATCTCTTTTGTTATTGTTCTTATTAATTTAAAATACCTATTATCCGTCTATTTCTGTATACTAAGTTCATTCAATGTTAATGAATGGTATGTGTGGGAAGAGAAGTTGTTACATACTTTTAAGGATTAAAAACAGAACTTAAACATACAAGTATTACAATAAAGTACAGGCTTGTTAATGTAAGGGGCAATGAAGTTTCAGAGGTACTGCTTTCCAGTGAGATCCAAGAAGATGTCATAATAGAAGTCACATTTGAACATTGATAGGTAGTGATGCAGAGAAGAAGTGGAAACTTCAAGAAGAACAAAATAATCAGATCTGGAACATATTCATGGTACTGACATAAACATGGAAGAGCAGACTTCTAAGGATGCTATGTGTAGAAGAATAGAGTGAGAATAAGTTTGGAAAAGAAATTTAGTTTAGATTTCGGAAAGCTTTCAATACTTGTTTTGAATAATTGTTCAAGGAGTGAAAACAAGTGAATTGTCTTTTCAGAACGCAATAGGGAGTTTGGAAAGTTTTTGAGTATGAATATGACATGATTGGATTTGAATGTCAGGATACTTCATGTGATAAATCTATACAGAGTGGAATGGAAAGTTGAAAAGTGGAAGAAGGGAAAGGAGAGTCAGAGGCTGCAGCAGTTGTCAGACCAAAGGTAATAAAATGCAACTAAAGTAGTGTATACAACATGAAGACATACAAGAAAGAGTAGCTACAGGGATTAATATCTGATAGTAGACAGAGAAAGGGAAAATGAAAGGGAGCATCGCTTTCAAAACTGGACAAAGTAGTAACACAGTGTACAGAATTAAGCAATTAAGAATTTCATTGGAGCATCACAATGAATGAAGGTCTCAACACACTCCCACTTTCAGTGACTGGTCTCATCTGGTGATCATTTCTCAGCTTCAAACTGTATGTACAAAATTTTATATACAGTATAGATATAATCTTGAGCACATACTTTTGCAGAACAAAGTATTTGATATCAATTACCACATTCTCTTTCATAAACTGGTGCTTCCCTTAATTTTCTCTGTTATATACTTAAAATAATAATAGATGGCTTAGAGAATATGATGAGCCAACCAATTTGTTTGCATGTTTTTTTAAACTCTTCACAGTCCATCAAGTTTGTATTTTTTTCTCCAAAGAAATGTATTAACATTAATACATTATTAATAATTATTTTCCCATAAAGTCTATTTTTAACTACGGATTGTCCTTGTGATGAGACAAAATAGCTTTAAACAGATTTTAGAAAAAGTCTGAGATGGATTAATGTTCTCACCACATACACAAAGTAATAGGTAACTATGTGAGGTGATGGATATGTTAATTAGATTGATTGTGGTAATCATTTCTCAATGTTGATGTATGCCAGAACATCACATTGTACACCTAAAATATACACAATTTTTATTTGTCAATTATGCCTCAATAAAACAGAAATAGAACCGCTGGCAAAACAGGATTTTAAGAAAGTATACTAGTGAATATAGACTTATGACAGTGTCATGAATTAAAATGCTCATACTGGTGAAGCACAAGTTTCTTTTCTCTATCTTCCCTATATTTCTGTCATCTCCCTTCCCCTACCACCCCCTTAGCCACATCTGTCTCTCTTGCCCCATCTCGCTGCCTGCTTCTTTCATGTCCTCTAAGCTTCTGACTTCTCTTCTCCTTCCCTTGTTTTTCTCTTTCCTTTCATTTACATTTATTTTTGTTTTCCCAAAAAGAATCACTGAAAACATATACTTACTCTTATTACAGAATCAATACATTCTGTGGTTCACATTAGGATAGCAATTATATGAATTAATTATAGCATTCATTCTCACCAAAAAGTCTAAGTAATTTTTATTTTAAGTGTAAATATTTTGTTCCAAAGTGAAGATAATGTAATAAAACACACAATCATGTGCACACACACATACACACGCACACACACAACCTTCTATCTGAAAAAAAAATTACATTGCTTAAAGAAAACAGCTGAAGAATGGTTGTATTCTGTACTCATTTATTTAGCTTCTTTACTGTTCCCATTGGTGGTTTTCTTTTCCCTGATTATGGGATCAGAAAGAAGAGAGCATTTCCTTACTACAGCATATTATAAAATTATCTTCATCATTTTATAAAGTTTGAAAATTGAATTGAACATTTCTAAAACAGATTAACAAACTTTTGCCAAATTTTATTCGCTGATTATAAATAGCTTTTTTGTGAACAATTCTATTTTTCTTGGAAAGATTTTAAACTCATGTTGGGTTTTGCTTGAGGTCAGGGGGTAATAATTTTTCAAGTAGTAGTTTATCATGTGTTTATTATGTTTAGGAAATAAAGGAATTATTTGATTAAATTTACCTACTATCATGATGGAGATAAGCCAAATGCAGATATTTAAAAATAAATTTTGTAAAAACAGTTGTAGCTTAGCCAGCATCTTAATTTAAAAAAAAAAAAAAAGGAGTCTTTAAGATTTTGCAACAGTGTAGGAATAGAAAAATAGATCATTCTCCATGGGAATTAATTGAATATAAGCACAGCATAGATTTAGTTATAAAATATGTTGTAAAGTTCTTTTAAATTGTCTTCAGTTAATATTATCATTTTAAAGCACAAAATTTTAGATTCTAAGGAAAATTTTAAATGTACTCTCTTGGTTTAATATAAAGTTTTAACTTTATTTTGACTTTCCTGAGTGCCAAGTGAATGGGTCAACTGTGACACGAGGCACTAATCCTTCCAATATGAACAAACAATATTTTGCTGCATGAAGAGCATTGTAAGATTTCCAGGCCTCATAACCATGAAACACCACAGAGTTCTAGAACTAAACACATATTTTTCAAAATGAATAATTAGACAAATGTGTAACTCCTTGGCTTTATTATATTGTTCAACATGTGTTTTAAGTTTTTTGAAAAAAAATTCATAAAAATATACATTCAGTGTCTATATGAAGTCTTAAAATAATAAAATTGTACAACATCTCATACTTGCCACATGCCCAGGGTAATTAGGCTGGAGAAAAACAAATTATTGGAAATATTCAAATAGTACATTCAAACAATGAACTAAGGAGGTATTAAGAAATTAAAGCTACTTTGAAAAGTTTAAAGTCAAGTCACAATTATACCCATTTAGGTTCATAGCGGCACATTATTTTGTTTCACTGACTTAAATGAACTTAAAATTTCAGTGGTTTGCTAGATAACAGAAGTGTCATTTATATCATAGAGTCAATTAATATTGAAAAACTGTGAAAATATTAATGTTTACAATACTATGGATATGCCAGATGATACTGATGGAATTCAATTCAAAATGCTGAATTAAGCATTTATCTTTCATGTAAGTATTGCTGCACACAAGTAATACTCATCTTTTAATAAATGCCTGTGTCCTGTATAGGGAAGAATAAAATCTTTTCTTTTATGCAGTAAATATAGTAACATATAAAATACATTACTGACACTTCTTTAATTTTCCTAATTATTTTTTACTCAGGAAACACGAGTTTACTCTCAAATAAAGCACAGTATTTTATTAATATGATAGTTAATAGATGCTATAATTTTATGTGATTACTTTCCCATGGTAATTACAGCAATTTTAAAGTTGATGAAGAGGTTAACATTACTATGTCAAACCACACCAAATTTAATTTGAAATTAATATCATGAATAAGTCATGGAAGTGTTCTGGGGACATACTTTGCACAAGAGTCTATTGCCTTCTTTCAAACTATGTGTATTTGTTTACAGTTTTAAAAATCTTCTAGAGAAAAATGTTTTGCCAAGTTATCTGCTGGGCATCAAGTATGAAAGGTTTCCCCAGTGGTCCTTGGCATGAAGTAGGTTAAGTACCCAAAATATTTTGTTTGGAACCAAGAGTACATGTTTAGGAAACCAAGGATGTTCATGATTACAATTGCTTGGGATTAGGGCACCAGCCTGAATTAAATCCAAGAAGGATTTTAAATATTGCAGCACCATTTTTCTGTTTTACTGAATAATTGGTAACACTAGATTACAAGATTTGCAAGCCCCTAAGTTGCTGTATTTTCATAGGGGAAAGGGTTCCTTTCATTCAAGCTTAATAAGCTTGGCCTATATCAGCTTTTCTCACATCAGCCCAAGTGTCACATTTGGGCTGGGGGAAGCTTGTTAGCAGTAATTACCAGCCGTGGGTTCTATTATTTGCCAAAGTAATTTTCACCACTAAGTACCACCGAAACTGCCTCAAGCCTTTAATTTTTTTCCCTTCCTCTTGCCTTCCTTTGCTTTCTTTTAGGTTAGTGCATTTTCCCATGATACTGCTCTCTGTGGTGTGGGACAAGGCAAAGGCAAGGCGCTGGGTATCAATGTGCTCCTGAGACATGGGGTCAGGCCTAGCAAAAGCCTTTCACAAACAGAGCCTGAACTCTATTAGAGATGCAAATCCACTCTCTGAGTAAGGATTGTTTCAGCTGCATAATGGGGCCAAGGAATTCCACAGCAGCTCTCCTTTCAGCATAGGCCCTTTGTCTGCCTCTTAGCAAATTTCAGCAGCCTGTTTAAACTCCAGCTATTGTCCCCTTGGCTTCATTGATTTCTCTGCCTGCCACAAACTCACAAAGGACTGATATGAACATCTTTGTTACTGCTTTTGTACTGTATATCAGAGTAATGTTTCATCAGCTTGAGGCCTAGGAGGAAGAATTAAACCTGTACTACACAGAGCATGATGAATTGCAGGATTTACATATCATTTTGAGACTTTGGGGATGGAGGTCTTTGCTGAATGCTGTTGTGTCTCAAAGGATGTTGTCCGAAGACAGACTGACAGAAAAGGAAGTGATTTAGATAGTCCCTGACAGCTTAATACACAAAATACAGGCAGATTGTGAAAATTCACAGGCATCTTATCATTTTCCTATACATGATAGAGTTGATTGGGAATCTTAGTGTGGTTCACATGATGGAATTTGATGTGGTAATCTCATTTTATTGTTTCAGAATTTTGGAGGTAGAACGTAGAATATTAACAATTTAGATTCCATTATTTTTGATTTCCATAGAAACTTCTTATGCTGAAAACAAAATTTTCAATGTTAATAATAGTAGTCACTTCCAAAATAAATAATCACTTTATTCATAATATCAAGGGTTCCTTACCTAGTATTAAGATTTTTCTGAGTGTGTATTTTTTAAAAATCATGTTCATGCGATCTATAAACTATGAAGTAATTTTTCTTCCAATATTAAAAGATTTTCATAAATAAATATTCGGTTGTATGCTAGAAAGTGCTTAATAACTGGTTGCCCCAGGGGAAAACAAAACTGATGTGTCATATTTGCTGATTTCTGTTGTATACATACTGCTACCATGGCCAATTTCAATCTGCCAATACACGGTCGCTGAATGTGGAATTGGGGAAAAAAAAATGTACTCAACTGTCTTCTGCGAGTCTTACTAGCCAGCTTCAGCACAAAACTGTGAAAATCTAATTGCATTTTATACTACTTTTTTATAAAACAGCAACTTTTTCATTGATCTTACAAACTTGAGTGAACAATGCTATAGAAATGCATAGAATAGTGGATAATGGTGCTTAAAATGCTACAATTATACTGGGCTATCATCTAAGGAATGCCACTTTTATGGTTGACATAATTTATGTGTAAACCATGCTTTTTTTTCCACTTAATTTTTTCAACCACTGACTCTGGACACTATATGGTATGTGATTGGCATCAAAATGAATGGGTAGAAATGAATCTGAATAGACTCATTCTATATGCTTCAAGATTCCAAGAGGTAGACAGTTGGGACAGAAGAATTTTTTTCATTTCTTGGTTAAAAAAGAAGAATCATTTATCTTATGAATTCTAATAAATGTACTTAAAAATGATATAACTTCTGTTTATACGCATATTAAGATGACAAGGCCCTACATGGATATCTATTTGTGAAAAATATATTAAGAAAAATAATTCTTGAAAGTCTGTGTTTTTTTAATTTCAAAAATCACTGAATCATCTATAAATCTGTGAATACACAATGCAGTTTTCACACTTTCATACCATTGCATCTGCTGTTCCTTGTATTTTGAGTGCCCTTCTATCACACTTATAAATTCTTCAGTGAGCTGTCACCTTTCTTGTATAAACATCTATTTTGATATACATCTTACATTATTTGAACACGTTTTCTGTTCTGTTAGGCAGTGGACCCCTTAAAGAGAAGCCCGATGTGTTATTCAGCTTTCTATTAGCAAAGCATAGTAAAGTGTCTTAACACATAGTGGCTGAACTAAAATTAATTGAATCGTAAAATGTTGGCCTCTTTTTCGTATTTCTGTGCCCTCACGCTTTTTGTATTGATTTCTGTTTTTTTAAATCTTTGCAGTTTCAGTGTTTTAGATACTGCCACCAATTAGCTGTCAAAGTGATACTGTCTAAATAAATTATAGCAGAGGTAGCCAACCTATTTTTATCACCTGTGTTTTCAATATTCTCAATTTGAATATTCTTATGACAGAGTATATTGACTGCATTCAGAGCCTGTAAAAGTAGCTTTTCTAATTTCCTCGTGTTATTATCTTTAACCACTTCATTGACTAGCATCAAGATACGGAGCCTTTTGGTATTTAGTGTTTTTGAATAATGCTTTTGAATAATTTTCACAGTTTAAAAAAAATGGTAATATCCAATCATATATTTGTTACCTTTTTGACTTGTTTCATAATTTCTTTCAATTGTACCAAATCATATATGAAATAAGATATGCAAGAGTTAGAGATTTTATTTTATATCATATCCTGTTCATGGCCACCTATTGAAGGAAGAACACTACAAAATGTTGTTGCCAGAGTTAAGCAATGTCAGTGGTGAGTAATTTATTATTTTTCCATTACCTTTTAAAAATTTCATTGTGAATCAGTATTTGATCATTTTACCATTATATCATACTCCATTTAAAGAAACCTAGGCAGAGGCCTTAACCATTACACAAAAATTAACTCAACAGGCTTAAGTGAAAAATGCAAAGCCATAATAGATCTAGAAGAAAACACATGAGAAAATCTACATGACCCTGGGCTGGGGATGAGGTCCTAGATGCAATACCAAATGAATGATTCATGAAAGAAAGAATAGATGGTATACTTTATTAAAATTTGAAATTTCTGCTCAACAAAAATACTGTTAAAAGAATGAAAAAGCAAGCCGCAGACCAGAAGAATATATTTGAAAGAAAATCTGAAAAAGGACTTGCATCTAAAGCAGAAAGAGAACCCTAAAAGCTCAACAATAAGAAACCAAATAGATTAAAAATGTGCAAAAGTTCTGAAGGTACACCTCTCTATTATGTTAAATAAGCATACAAAAATTATATACAACACCATCTGTCATTAGGAAAAGGCAAGTTAAAAAACACAACGACAAGCTAATACTATAGACCTATTTGAATAATTAAAATCCAAAAGATATGACAACACTAATTTCTCACGAGAATGGAAAGCAACAGGAACTCTCATTCATTGCTAGTGGAAATGCAAAATGATACAGTCATTTTGGAGGATGGTGCATTAGTTTCTTATAAGCCAACACACAGCCTTACCATGCAATCTAGCAATTGCTCTACCAGATATTTACCATCTGATTTAAAAACTTACATACACATACAGACACATAAATGGAACATGAAAGTTATAGAAGATTTATTCACAACCCCAAAATTAAAGCAACAAAGATGCCCTTTAATAAATACATAGATAAATAAACTGTAGGACATAGATACAATAGAATACTATTCAATGACTAAAGGAATGAACTATCAAGTCATGGCAAAAAAAAGATGGATGAATCTTAAATGTTTCTTGCCAAATGAAGGAAGCCATTCTGAAAAGTCTGCGTGCTGTATGATTCAAAACATAAGACATTCTAGAATATATAAAACTCTAGAAAAATTAAAAAGTTCGCTGGTAGCAAAAGAAATCTGTAAGTTGATGAAATTCTTCTTCCTGATACTATAAGGGTGCATATACAAAATAATGCATTTATCAAAACCATAGAAAATTACAGTACAATCATGGACTCTTAATGTATACAAATTTTAAAAAATCATATAGAAGTTCGAGTGATTCCAAGATGGGATTCAGACTGAGGCAAAAAATCTAAATATACTAAAAATGTATGAAATTACCTTACCGATTGGATTAGGGTATAAAGGTGCTAATCTAAGTAATTTGCAAAATGACTAGAGACAGTAAGATGAAAGACAAAGGTAAATGTACATGAGTGCTGTACTCTAGTTGACGAAGTTATTTCCCATGGAGTACGTGCTAGCACCACTATACATGTATATTGAACAATCAAGTGAATGGATGACTAACGATGGCAGTCTGACTGTTGTAATCCAGGGATTACTGAATTCGAGTTGGAGACATCAGTGTTACAGGGGAGGAAAAATAACTTTTTCTTCAGCTCTAATAAGTTATTAGTTGGAATGGACCCCTGTAAGAAAAGATAGATTAATAAAAGAAAAACAAACAGAAGTTTACTAACATGTTTATTTCATATACACATGGGAGATACCCAGGGAATAACTAGTTCTCAAAGAGATGGCTTTGGATTCAGCATATATATTATGGCATCTTCAACAAAGAACAATACAATTTTAGAGAAGTGACAAGACAAACGAAAAGGATTTTTAGTCTCTCGCAACAGCAACTTGTGGAAGAGGCAAATTAATGGCAGATAAAAGCTAATTAGTAAAACTTGTTGGTCAGATTCCTCTTGGTAACATCTCTAGGACCAAAAGGATCTAAAGTCTTCTGCAGTTTTATATTATTTTTAATTAGATAATTATATATATATTTATGAATATAATGTGATGATTTGGTACATGCATACATTGTGGAATGATCAAATCAAGCTATTACTCATATGATGTGATTAAAGTGGCACTTTGCCTCTCTGATCTTCCTTTTAAAAGCCTATAATTCAGTTTTACCATGAGAAAAATATCAGACAAACCCAATGGAGTTGCATTCTATAGAGTACCTAACCTGGACTTTTCAACTGCCAAGATCACCGAAAACAAGCAAAGTCTAAGAACTGTCATGGCAAAGCAGAGACTTAGAAGATATTATGATTAAATGTGATGTGGTATTGTGGATAGAATCGTGAAACAGAAAAAGATAGCTCGCTAAGGAATATGGAAATCTGAATGAATTATAAATATATATTAACAGTAAAGAGTCAGTGTTGTCTCATATTACAAATAAGCCTTACTAAAATAAAATCTTTATAATACAGCAACAGTGTGGGTGGGACTATGGGAACTCTCTAATATCTTTTTAACCTTTCTGTAAATCTGAAACTACTCTAAACTTAAAAGTTTACTTAAAACATTAAAAACTATTGCTTAATATTTCTTCAGGACAATGTTCAAAATCTTGTGAAAGTTGACATAAAACTAAAATATAGATGTTTTGATCTCACTTCCTGTGCCTGTCCTCCATCTTAAAGTAATCATTTTGTTCATTTTTGAACTGTGACCTGATTGTAATATTATTTCTTCCACATTTTCCCACTACATTTTTACTTTTAGACACAGTTCTATAATGAGCTTATTGATTTTATTATTTCCTTGCATTTTCTAAAAGAGTCTTTTTTTAAAAACTTTTTATTACATGGTCCAAATTTTAAAAGTCTCCAGAGAACTTCTTGTTAAAAATGCAGACTTTAGGGTCCTGCCCAAGCTATTTTTATGTTCCAGTCTAAGGTCAGATCCAGCAGTCTGGATTTTTACAGGTATTTCAGGTGATTATTATATATTCCAAAATTGGAGAAAAACAGATCTAAGACATCTAGAGGGGTAGTATTTATTTATTCTCATTTTTGTTTTCTCCTACATCCTTCTAACAATTTTATTTCTTGCATTTGAAGTTGCTTTGTAGAGAAAAAGAAAAATATTGGGGTCCAATTAATTCCCTCTCAGTTATTCTTGTTGCTCCTATAGGAATTCATAAGCATGCTGGAAGTTGCTAATGAGCAAATTTTACGAGTATCTACTACTTAAAAATAAAGATTTCCAAAATTTAACTATTTATCTTATATTTGCAATCTCTGTTCTAAAAATATTCTATTATCAGTATATTTTCTAAATTTTTAGTGTTTTGAATTCTTCAGTTCTGTCTAGAACAAAAATAGAAAACCAGCATTTTTCATATTTTTTAAGTTTTCAAAGTGTTGATACATTCTTTTTCTAATTTTATAGAGGCATAATTGATATGCAAAAATTGCACGTATTTAATGTATACATTTTGATGAGATTTGACACTTGTATACACCTATAATACCATCCTCTAAAAGTACTAAAGCATATTTATCACCCCCAAAATATTTGTAGTGTTCTTTTGGAGTGGTTTTTGTTTGTTTGACTTTGTTTTGTAGTAATAACACTTAACATGAGATCTATTCTATTAAGTATAAAGTGCACAATGCAATATTGTTAACTATAGGATCTATGTTGTACAGCAACTCTCTGGAATGTATTAACCTTGCATAACTGAGCAACATGTTGCCATTTTCTCCTTTTCACAGCCTCTAACAAACAGCATTTTATTGTCTGCTTTTATGAGTTTGGCTATTTTAAATACCTCATATCTTTTATGCATCAATCCTACCAGCTCTACTTTGCTTTATCTCTTTCTATAGTATATGTATCTAGGTAATTAGCCTATATCCCAGATTCTTGTAGTTTAATTATGAATTTTGAGTTAATTTGTATTACTTTGAGATATATCTTACTTTCTTAAAATACAGTAATGAATAGTAGCAAACCAACAACTTTTGTTTGCCTCAAAGTTTCAAATTCTTAAACTAAGTTAACTCTTATTTTTTTATTTTCATATGTTTTTGGGGAACAGGTGGTATCTGGTTGCTTGAGTAGGTTCTTTAGTGGTGATTTGTGAGATTTTGGTGCATCCATCACTCGAGCAGTATACAGTGAACCCAATTTTTAGTCTTTTATCTGTCACCTTATTTCCATCCTTTCCCTCAAATTCCTAAAGTCCATTATATCATTCATATGCATTTGTGTCCTCATAGCTTATCTCCCATTTATGATTGAGAACATACGATGTTTGGTTTTCCATTCCTGAGTTACTTCACGTAGAATAATAGTCTACAGTTCCATCCAGGTTGCTGCAAAGCCATTAATTTGTTCCTGTTTATGGCCAAGTAGTATTTCATTCTGTGTGTGTGTGTGTACATATACACATACCATAATTTTTTAATTCACTTGTCGATTGTTGGGTATTTGGTCTGGTTCCATATTTATGCAGTTGTGAATTGTGCTGATATAAATATGCATGTACAAGTATCTTTTTCATATCATGACTTGTTTTCTTCTGGGTAGATTCCCAGTAGTGAGATTGCTGGATCCAACAGTGACCAAGCTGAGAATCAAATCAAGAACTCAACCCCTTTACAAGAGATGCAAAAAGAAAATAAAACACTTAGGAATATACCTAACAAAGGAGGTGAAAGGCCTCTACAAGGAAAGCTCCAAAACACTGATGAAAGAAATCATAGATGACATGAACAAATGGACACACATCCCATACTCATGAATGCGTAGAATCAATATTGTGAAAGTGACCATACTGCCAAAAGCAATCTACAAATTCAATGCAATTCTCATCAAAACACCACCATCATTCTTCATAGAACTAGAAAAAAATCCTAAAATTAATATGGAATTTATTCATGTGGAATTAGCCAAAGCAAGACTAAGCAAAAGCAAAAACAAAAAAATCGGGAGGCATCACATTACCTGACTTCAAACTATATTATTAGGCCATAGTCACAAAAACAGCATGATATTCATATAAAAACAGGCACATAGACCAATGGAACAGAATAGAAAAGCCAGAAATAAACCCAAATACTTACAGCCAACTGATCTTCGACAAAGCAAACAAAAATATGAAGTGGGAAAAGGGCACACAATACAACAAATGGTACTGGGATAATAGGGAAGCCACATGTAGGAGAATTAAACTGGATCCTCATCTCTCACCTTATACAAAAATCACCTCAAGATGGTTCAAGGGCTTAAATATAAATCATGTAATAAGATAGGTTCTGAAATTGAGGCAGTAATTAATAGCCTACCAACCTAAAAAAGCTCAGGACCAGACAGATTCACAGCCGAATACTACAAGAGGTACAAAGAGGTGCTGGTACCATTCCTTCTGAAACTATTCCAAACAATGGAAAAAGAGAAACTCCTCCCTAACTCACTGTATGAGGCCAGTGTCATCTTGATACCAAAACCTGGCAGAAACACTGGGAAAAAAAAAAAATTCAGGCCAGTATCCCTGATGAACATCGATGTGAAAATCCTCAATAAAATACTGGCAAATCGAATCCAGCAGCACATCAAAAGCTTATCCAACCCTATCAAGTTGGCTTCCTCCCTGGGATGCAAGGCTGGTTCAACATATGCAAATCAATAAACTTAATCCATCACATAAACAGAACCGATGACAAAAACCACATGATTATCTCAACAGATACAGAAAAGGCCTTCGATAGAAGTCAATACCACTTCATGCTAAAAACACTCAATAAATTAGGTATCGATGGAACGTATCTCAAAAAAATAAGAGCTATTCATGACAAACCCACAACCAATATCATACTGAATGGGCAAAAGCTGGAAGCATTCCCTTTGAAAACTGGCACAAGACAAGGATTCCCTCTCTCACCACTTCTACTCAACATAGTATTGGAAGTTCTGGACAGGGAAATCAGGCAAGAGAAAGAAATAAAGGATATTCAATTAGGAAAAGAGGAAGTCAAATTGCCTCTGTTTGCAGATGGCATGATTGTATATTTAGAAAACCCCTTCATCTCAGCCCCAAAACTCCTTAAGCTAATAAGCAACTTCAGCTAAGTCCCAGGATACAAAATCAATGTGCAAAAATCACAGCATTCCTATACACCAATAATAGATAAGAGCCAAATCATGAGTGACCTCCCATTCACAATTGCTACTAAGAGAATAAAATACCTAGGGATATAACTTACAAGGGATGTAAAGGATCTCTTCAAGGAGAGCTATAAACCATTGCTCAAGGAAATAAGAGAGGATACAAACAAATGGAAAAACATTCCATGCTTATGGTTAGGAAGAATCAATATTGTGAATATGTCCATACTGCTCAAAGTAATCTATAGATTCAGTACTATTCTCATCAAGCTACCATTGACTTTCTTCACAGAATTAGAGAAATCTACTTTAAATTTTGTATGGAATCAAAAAAGAGCCTGTATAGCCAAGAGAATCCTAAGCAAATGGAACAAAGCTGGAGACATCATGCCACCTTACTTCAAACTATACTACAAGTCTACAGTAACCAAAACATCATGGTACCGGTACCAAAACACACATATAGACCAATGGAACAGAAAACAGGCTTCAGAAATAACACCACACATCTAAAACCATCTGATCTTTGACAAACCTGACAAAAACAAGAAACGGGGAAAGGATTCCCTATTTAATAAATGGTGCTGGGAAAACAGGCTAGCCATATGCAGAAAACAGAAACTGGACCCCTTCCTTACACCATACCCCAAAATTAACTCAAGATGGATTAAAGACTTAAAGATAAGACCTAAAACCCAGAAAACCTAGGCAATACCATTCAAGACATAGGCATGGGAAAAGACTTCATGACTAAAACACCAAAAACAATTGCAACAAAAGCCAAAATTGACAAATGGGACCTAATTAAACTAAAGAGCTTCTGCACAGCCATAGAAACTATCATCAGAGTGAACAGGCAACCTGCGGAATAGGGGAAAATTTTTGCTATCTATCAGTTTGACAAAGGGCTAATATCCAGAATCTACAAGGAACTTAAATTTACAAGAAAAAAACAACCCCATCAGAATGTGGGCGAAGGATATGAACAGACCCTTCTCAAAATAAGACATTTATGCGGCCAACAAACAAACAAACAAAAAAAGCTCATCATCACTGGTCATTAGAGAAATGCAAATCAAAACCACAATGAGATACCATCTCATGCCAGTTAGAATGGCAATCATTAAAATGTCGGGAAACAACAGATGCTGGAGAGGATGTGGAGAAATAGGAACACTTTTACACTGTTGGGGGGAGTGTTTCAACCATTGTGGAAGACAGTGTGGAATTCCTCAAGGATCTAGAATCGGAAATACAATTTGACCCAGTAATCCCATTACTGAGTATATACCCAGAGGATTATAATCATTCTACTGTAAAGACACATGCACACGTATGTTTACTGCAGCACTATCCACAATAGCAAAGACTTGGAAGCAACCCAAATGCCCATCAATGATAGACTGGGTAAAGAAAATTTGACACATATACACCATGGAATACTATGCAGCCATAAAAAAGAATGAGTTCATGTTTTTTGCAGGGACATGGATGAAGCTGGAAACCATTATTTTCAACAAAATAACACAGGAACAGAACAGCAAACACCACATGTTCTCACTCATAAGTGAGAGTTGAACAATGAGAACACATGGACAGAGGGAAGGGAACATAATACACTAGGGCCTGTCGGGGGTTGGGAGGTGTGGGGGGCAAGGAGAGGGATAGCATTAGGACAAATAACTAATGCATGTGGCGCTTAAAATGTAGATAACGTGTTGATGGGTGCAGCAAACCACCATGGCATGTGTATACTTATGTAACAAACCTGCATGTTCTGAACATGTATCCCAGAACTTAAAATATAATAAAAAAGAACATTTTGATTACGTTAAACAAGACTGATGATTTTGCTACTTTTCTAGAGAAGCATTTTTTTTATAAATTTGGTTTCTTCCAGTTGTAACCCATAACATGTATCTCTTAAGCTAGTGTTTGTTACTAAACATCATGAATTTTAAGATAAAAACATGCAAATCCTTCTTTCTTATCACACATTGTCGACTCTGTTGATTTTGTTTGTCTCCAACATTAGCCTCTCTGAATTTCACTAACAACCATCTGATCATCTTTATTCACTAAACCACTAATACATCTCTACTTAATAATACACGAACACTTCAAATTTAGAATATCTAAAATTGACTCTATCTTTTTCTCTCTCAACTCTGCTCTTTTTGTTGTGAGAGGGTGTTTTATACTTTAGTTGATGGTAACTATCCTCTAAACCTGAAATCTGAATGCCATCTTTATTTTATTCTTTTCTCTTGTCCTACATATCACAGTTAATATCAAAATAGAACTAAATTGTCTCTTAACTTCACCCTTCCTTTTCTTCTCAGTGAGTGATATCTTAACTCAAATTCTTATTTCTCAGTTAAAATGATCTTGAGATCACTTTCCATTCCCAAAGCATAATCCTGATTAGTAACAATCCATATCAAACACTGTAAATTATGATTAATAAGTTGAAATGACATGGTTTCTTGAAAACATCCATAGGCTTCTTGTTAAGAAAGTAACAACACATGTCTTTCTGCACGAATTTGTCAAACTTGGTGAACTGTATCATTGTCACATTTCCCAAATCAAAGTCAACCATCTATTGGCCAAAATTAACGGTTTAATGCTAGTTAAGCCATCCAAAAAGATGATCTATTTTGGGATATATATATACACACACACACACACACACACACACACACACACCCACACACGCACACACACGGTGGTTTAGACAATAGGATATTTGTATTTATTTTCTCCTGCGGTATCACTCTTTGGCTTATAGATTGCCATCTTATCCCGAGTCCTCATATGATCTTGCCTTGATGTCTATCTCCTAATCTACTCTTTCTATAAGGCCCCAGTGATGTTGTATTAAAACCAATTCTAATGACCTCATTCTAATTTTATCACTGATTTTAAGACCCTATCTTCAAAAACAGTCACATTCTGAGGTATTGGGGGCAAGGACTTTAACATATGAATTTTGAAGGGACAGAATTGAGCCTATCTGTTTATCTATCTATCTATCTATCTATCTATCTATCTATCTATCTATCATCTATCTATCTATCATCTATCTGTCTATCATCTATCATCCACATGTTTCATAAACAGGGAGGAATGAGTAGCTGTGCTGCCTTAGGTGAGGGTAAAATTATTTATTGAGTTTTAATTTTGTTAAGCACTTGAGAATAGCTAGTTGAAAAAGAAAATAATGTATGGATCTAAGGTGAAAAGACATGTATCTTATGAAATGCAAGTTACTGCTACGGGCACTATCATGGAGGTAAGTGTAGATATCATGGAGACACATACAAGTGAGGCAACTACCTGTAGACTTCAAGCAAGACTATTCTCCCTCTGATATGTTTGTCTCTGTCTTTCTGCCTAACTTCTGTTGCACAAACTGTCAGCAGTGAAACCTTTTGTTTTTCTAATCACATTTTTGCTGACTGTCTCCTATTCTTAGCTTAAACATCCCCATTTCTGGTAATGCAACTTCCTGTGCTCCCATAGTACCTACTTTTTACTTTCTCTATCACAACCTCACCAAATTTTATTGTATTTTTAAAAAGAATTGCCATTCTTGCTTGAATGTAAGATTCATTTTTAATAATATTTTAATTAATATATTTTATAAACAATTTTAGTGTCCCCAATAGCTGACACTGAATATGGCACAAGTGGTACTCAGTGCCACTTCTCATATTTGTGAAATAAGTATGAACAGATGTGAGGGAATTAATGCACACTTCCACTGGATAGCAATTAGCCCTTTCATATTAATCAGAATTTTATGTCATTTTCTTAAAGTTCAAACTTCAAATAATAAAAAGTGTTCACAATGTTTTTCTCCCTTGAACAAACTTCATGATGCCTCCTTCAATAATATAACCCTCTTTGTCGTTCGAAGGAAATACTGTGACTCTTTATCTTTTCAAATATATGTGTATATATGAGTATTATTCATAAATATATCATACTTTCGTGTCAAAATTTTCATTAGAATAGGAATTTGCACTACTTCAATTGTAACTCAAAAATTTTATATTTTATCATAAATGTAGAAATTATGCTCTAGATAATAATCAAAGACAAAAATAGAAATACATGGCTTATTAATTATATTAGCTTTTACATAATTATTTTTTAATTATTAATATCCAATAGTTATTGCTTATTATGTTAGCTTTTGAATAGTTCTGTAAAGTTCTTTATGATAGGAACTTCTTAAATATTTGTATGTTCCTCCATCCTGTACCTCACCTCACAGCCACTAACCACAGCAAATATTATTGTGTGAGGTATATACTGATTATATTTTTTAAAATTCTGAATGTAAAAATGATTATCTTTACTAAATAGAGATAATATTGTGAGCATTTGGAATAGTCCTTATATAGAGAATAAAGTGAATGATTACCATGTGCTTTGGATACTTTTAAGTGATTTGAACAATATGTAAAACTTAATTCTATAGACATTGCTAATATTTGCATTACTTGACGTTTTAATGGAAATCTCCTTACTCTTTGTCTTTTGAGCTCATTCTTTTCATTGTAGCATTTCCTAATGCTGCCTATTTAGCAGTGTTTTATGTGGCTGTCTTGGCACCTAATCAGAAGAGGAAGGCATAAAATTCATACAATTCTCTAACCTTGTTCTCATTCTAGAGCCAGCTCTCCCCTTAAGGATCAATTTCTGAGAATCCAGGCACCTGGTTTCTTTGAGAGAACCCTAGAGGAGAGTTCCTAATCGTCTTTTAGTATTCACATAAAAATGGAATATGATTTCAAACTTTAAAAAATGACATTAGTATTCCTCATACTCATAGTTGAATATATATATATATATATATATATATATATATATATATATATATATATATAATTCTGAAGAAATCTAGGCTCTTTTTGAGACAGAATATGCAGTAGAATCTTGGAACTGGATAAAAAAGTAAATATTGCCTTTCTAGTAAAAGTGCGGACTTTAATATCATTCCTGCTTTAGGACCAAATAGGCCATGAATTGCATAGGTTTATATCAAATACCTCTGTAATATTAAATATGACAATGCCACATAATTTTAATTCCATAAACACTTATTATGTGACTCATATAAGTGAGATACTATGGACGACACAATGAATGCCATAATTTATGCAATTATTAAATGTTATTTACCTAGGAAATTATTTCATTTTTTATTAATGAAAATATCTATTAAAATGGCTTTGGAATCTTCTTCTGGTTGAAAATAAATTGTACTTCGAGATGGGTAAAAATGTGTCGGATTTTTCCTTTTAGATGTGAAAGAAATGAAGAATGGCCAATAGCTTTCACACATAGCAAATCAATGTCACATACTTTATATTCTCTATTTCTCTTCGGATCAACTATATTCAGACTGAAATTACATAGCATTCTTAACAGACTCCTAAATTCTGATATTTTTTACCCTAAATAGTTTCCTTGTTTATAATCTCCTCAAACTTTCTTAGCAATTCTCACAGGTAGTGGCTTAGTATGAATATGGAGTGCAGTGGTGCGATCTCTGCTCACTGAAATCTCTGCCTCCTGAGTTCAAGCGATTCTCTGCCTCAGCCTCCCGAGTAGCTGGGACTACAGGCGCCCGCCACCAGGTCCGGCTAATTTTTTTAAAAACAATTTTTAGTAGAGATGAGGTTTCACCATGTTGGCCAGGCTGGTCTCAAACTCCCGACCTCAGATGATCAGCCCGCCTCGGCCTCCCAAAGTGCTGGGATTACAGGCATGAGCCACTGTGCCTGACCTAACCTGTCGTATTTTTACATGAGGTTCTAAAAAGAGGAAAGGGTCTGAGAACATTTAATACTTAGCCTTAGAGCTCCACAGTTAAATGCATTATTGACCTAATCAGACTTGTTAGGCAGCTTCTCAGCTCTGTGGAAGAAAACTTAAAAGCAAATTTTAAGCCAAATAAAGTTGCTTTGCTTTTCACATGAGCACATTTTATTTTGCTTCGCTGTTCCTTAGACAAACATATTTCCTGTGATGCTTACCACAATGGATTATTTAGCTGAGATTTCTAAATGTCTTTGATCTCTTCAGATAAATGGCATTGAATGAGGACAATATTATAATAATTAGCACGATCTTCATCATATTGTAATTATACAAAAGATCAAATAAGAAGGAACCAATCCTTTTAAATGCAACACATTTAAATCCACTCCAATTATTCGTAAATCTATTCATGCACTATCCCAGCTTTCCTCCATAGGGGTCACTTTCATTTACAGGCATGAATATATTTATTCATCAGTTCACAAAAAGCTACCAGATAGGTTAACCAGTAAAAGACACTTTCTTTCTTGGAATCTATAAATAAGCCTCTCACAAAAAGACCTGTTCAACCCTTAATGATGAATTTCCTTGTCATTTTGTAGCTATATCATTGTCTTGTTGTGAATTTGATATGTGTACATGATGCTTCCATTGAAGACTCATTTTTTGCCAAGACGGCTGTCTCATAGTTGGCCTCATCAGTTTATGTGGACATAATTGTAACTTTAAAATCCCCCTATTAAAATAAGTTTATATCCTGCTAAACATTATATATGTATAGAAAAATTATTGATAAACATTTATCAATTATGATAAGCATTTATCCTGAGATACAGATAAGAATTAATTACCAGGATCTCCCTTAAAATGATCTTAGGAAAAACCCAGCCTTTAGTATCATGCATTTACTACTGATGTTTTTGAGTAAAACCCTCTTCTTTATCAAGTACAACCCTCTTCTTTAATGTGTTACTTCAGGTAACTAATGTGAAAAATTAAACTGTTATATACTTATAATGAATAATATTTACATGAATTACCCTCCTTACCACATTTATATGATTTTAGTTTATCTACATTCAGCTAAAGTAATATGTGTGTTGTACACTAATAAACATGTACATTACTCAATGTGTAAATATGTCTGTACACTACTAAAGTAACTAAGAAGTAATTGATAAACTGCTTCTTGTACTATACTTAGGCAAAGGTCCAAATTCTTAAGCCCTAATATATAAAGTGAATTGGTCTTTCTGAAAACCTGTGCTCTAATTTTCTATTTAATCCCCTGCCATTTAATGAGATGTTTTTCTATCTTTTCAACTTCTTGTCCCATGATACTGATGTTTTCTCATTTTGTTTCAGATTGTTTTCTACATATTTTTGTGATATTTGCTATTAGATTTAGATGAGAAGTTTCTCATTTTAGAGGGGATGGAAGAGTGAAAAGGAAGCATGAGGAAAATCATTTTTCTTCCCTTTAAGCACATATTAGTCTATCTTAAAGGTTACTTATAATTTTAAATTTAATCTTGCAAAAAACAGAAATAATCTATTGCATACTTTATAAAGTCTGACATGGTATTTTTAAAAGCAGGCCTAAAAATTATTTAGTTTTAGATTGATTTTCACGCACAGTATAATGTGTGTATGCTATATTTTTTATGTAAAGTCTAAAGTATAATAGCAAAGATTTTAATCACCAGATTTAAAAATAAAATGTAGGCACAACTACCTTGTAATAAGATAATATTTTAAAATACTAACATACATATATTAATATTTTATTAATAATTAAAACATCAAAGTCCTTAGAAACAAATGCAACAGGTTAGAGATCCTTTTAACAGATACTTCTCTTTACAAGGTACAGTGAAGTTGAATAATTCATAGAAGCTATTCTCTGAGCTGACAGGTGCTCCTGAATCATGCTATGACACATGATTGTGATGTTTTGGCATCAGCCCCCCTTTACATTGCTGAGAAAAAGCACGATGCTGCCTGCACATAACAGACCTCAGACAGTGTCTCTCCAAACCTACTTATTTTATAGGTGAAGAAGCCAATGATATCCTGGAGTTTAAGTGTCTTAGTGAACATGTTCTTAGTTAAGGGTGAACAGTAGAAGGGGGGAGGGGGAGAAACTTTTATTGAACACCTACATTTGTGAGGCATTCTGCAAAGTACTATATGGGTTTTATTTTTATGTAATCTTTAAACTATAAGTTCAATCCTGATCTTACAGATGAAGAAAATCTATAAACAGGGTAAGATACAAAATTTTCTGGGCCCATTGCAAAAGGAACATGCTAAGTCCTTTGTTCACAAAGGAAGAAAAAAGTTTTTCTTTCTTCTGCAGTTTCTTTCTTGACTTGTCATGGTGTTTTTTATTTGCTGTTTAATGTCATTTTAACTTTATGATAGGAACTGATGTCCCTTTTGTTTAATAATTTATTATCTCACTTGCTTCTCTAGAATATAAGCTCCAGGAAATCATGGAGCAAGTTAATTTAAATGGAAAATTCTGATTTGTATAAATGCTCCTGGGACAGAATCAGAGTGAACAAATTTATCTGAGTTTTAGGGTTAAGATATATTTGCACCTACTAAGGTACCACTTTTCTGGTGGCTAATGTTGGCACTCTTCATTTAAGACAAAAATTTTCAAAGTGTCTGATCACAAGACTGACTTGAGTCAATCATTAAAAGCATTCTGATGTCCCATCCCCCACCTCGAGGACATTTTAATGCAATTGATCAACTAGAGGACTAGTTTTCTTTTTTTTTTTCAATTGTGCAATATACAAACTTTATTTAAATCCCAATTCTAACAGACACCTTTATAAGGTAAGCTGGAACTTAAATGCTGGCAGGATATTTGATGATGCTAAGTAACTCAGGAATGGAAAACCACACATTGTATGTTCTCACTCATAAATGGAGGCTGTCTGGGCGCGGTGGCTCATGCCTGTAATCCCAGCACTTTGGGAGGCAGATCACCTGAGGTCAGGAGTTTCAGACCAGCCTGACCAACATGGTGAAACCCCATATCTACTAAAAATATAAAAATTAACCAGGTGTGATGGTGGGCGCCTGTAATCCCAGCTATTCAGGAGGCTGAGGCAGGAGAATCGCCTGAACCCAGGAGGCAGAGGTTGCGGTGAGCCAAGATCGTGCCATTGCACTCCAGGCTGGGCAACAAAAGCGAGATTTCATCTAAAAATAAAAATAATAAAAAAAATGAGAGCTAAGCTATGAGGACGCAAAGGCATAAGAATGATACAATGGACTTTGGGCTCTTGGGGGAAAGGTGGGAGAGGGGTGAGAGATAAAAGACAACACATTGGGTACAGCATACACTGCTTGGGTGATGCGTGCACCAAAACCTCAGAAATTACCACTAAATAACTTATTCATATAACCAAAGAGCACCTGTTCCCCAAAAACCTATTGAAATAATTAAAAAAGTCACTTTCCTAAAAAAAAAAAATCCTTATTTCTTAGATATGATGGTGATATTGCGGGTTTTTTTAAAATTTTATTATTATACTTTAATATAATTAATATAATTATATATTATATTATATATAATATAATGTAATTAAAACTAGAGGACTAGTTTTCAAATGTCAATCATACATTACTCCTCTACATAGCCAATCCAATGGCTTCCATTCTACACAAAACAAAATTTAAATTCTTTGCTCTGGCCAACAAACCCATATGTCAGTTCTCTTTAACCTTCTCTCTCACCATTCTCTCCCATGACTCTGTGTTCAATCTACAGGTTTTTAAAATGTCTTGTTCTTTCTAAACGTCAAGCTTATTTCTGCCTTTGTATTTGCAATTTTATGTGGCTTGAATATCCTTCTTCTGATCTCTTCATGGAAACTATTTTCTGGTCATTTAGGTCCCTTTTCATTATTATTTGTTACACAGGCCTTCCCTTGACCTCTTTTATTTTTATTATACTTTAAGTTTTAGGGTACATTTGCACCACGTGCAGGTTTGTTACATATGTATACATGTGCCATGTTGGTGTGCTGCACCCATTAACTCGTCATTTAACATTAGGTATATCTCCTAATACTATCCCTCCACCCTCCACCCACCCCACAACAGGCCCTGGAGTGTGATGTTCCCCTTCTTGTGTCCATGTGTTCTCACTGTTCAATTCCCACCTATGATTGAGAACATGTGGTGTTTGGTTTTTTGTCCTTGTGATAGTTTGCTGAGAATGATGGTTTCCAGCTTCATCCATGTCCCTACAAAGGGACATATGTATGGCTGCATAGTATTCCATGGCGTATATGTGCCACATTTTCTTAATCCAGTCTATCATTGTTGGACATTTGGCTTAGTTCCAAGTCTTTGCTATTGTGAATAGTGCTGCTATAAACATACCTGTGCATGTGTCTTTATAGCAGCATGATTTATAATCCTTTGGGTATATACCCAGTAATGGGATGGCTGGGTCAAATGGTATTTCTAGTTCTAGATCCCTGAGGAATCGCCACATTGACTTCCACAATGGTTGAACTAGTTTACAGTCCCACCAACAGTGTAAAAGTGTTCCTATTTCTCCACATCCTTTCCAGCACCTGTTGTTTCCTGACTTTTTAATGATCGCCATTCTAACTGGTGTGAGATGGTATCTCATTGTGGCTTTGATTTGCATTTCTCTGATGGCCAGTGATGATGAGCATTTTTTCATGTGTTTTTTGGCTGCACAAATGTCTTCTTTTGAGAAGTGTCTGTTCATATCCTTCACCCACTTTTTGATGGGGTTGTTTGTTTTTTTCTTGTAAATTTGTTTGAGTTCATTGTAGATTCCGGATATTAGCCCTTTGTCAGATGAGTAGACTGCAAAAATTTTCTCCCATTCTGTAGGTTGCCTGTTCACTCTGATGGTGGTTTCTTTTGCTGTGCAGAAGCTCTTTAGTTTAATTAGATCCCATTTGTCAATTTTAGCTTTTGTTGCCATTGCTTTTGGTGTTTTAGACATGAAGTCCTTGCCCATGCTTATGTCCTGAATGGTAATGCCTAGGTTTTCTTCTAGGGTTTTTAGGTCTAAGATTTAAGTCTTTAACCCTTCTTGACTTAATTTTTTATAAGGTGTAAGGAAAGGATCCAGTTTCAGCTTTCTACATATGGCTAGCCAGTTTTCCCAGCACCATTTATTACATACGGAATCCTTTCCCCATTGCTTGTTTTTGTCAGGTTTGCCAAAGATCAGATAGTTGTAGATATGTGGCATTGTTTCTGAGGGCTCTGTTCTGTTCCATTGGTCTATATCTCTGTTTTGGTACCAATATCATGCTGTTTTGGTTACTATAGCCTTGTAGTATAGTTTGAAGTCAGGTAGTGTGATGCCTCCAGCTTTGTTCTTTTGGCTTAGGATTGACTTGGCGATGAGGGCTCTTTTTTGGTTCCATATGAACTTTGAAGTAGTTTTTTCCAATTCTGTGAAGAAAGTCATTGGTAGCTTGATGGGGATGGCATTGAATGTATAAATTACCTTGGGCAGTATGGCCATTTTCACAATATTGATTCTTCCTACCCATGAGCATGGAATGTTCTTCCATTTGTTTGTATCCTCTTTTATTTCATTGAGCAGTGGTTTGTAGTTCTCCTTGAAGAGGTCCTTCACATCCCTTGTAAGTTGGATTCCTAGGTATTTTATTCTCTTTGAAGCAATTGTGAATGGGAGTTCACTCATAATTTGGCTCTCCCTCTGTTATTGGTGTATAAGAATGCTTGTGATTTTTGCACATTGATTTTGTATGCTGAGACTGAAGTTGCTTATTGGCTTAAGGAGATTTTGGGCTGAGACAATGGGGTTTTCTAGATACACAGTCATGACATCTGCAAACAGCAACAATTTGACTTCCTCTTTTCCTAATTGAATACCCTTTATTTCCTTCTCCTGCCTGATTGCCCTGGCCAGAACTTCCAACACTATGTTGAATAGGAGTGGTGAGAGAGGGCAACCCTCTCTTGTGTCAGTTTTCAAAGGGAATGCTTCCAGTTTTTGTCCATTCAGTATGATATTGGCCATGGGTTTGTCATAGATAGCTCTTATTATTTTGAGATACATCCCATCAATACCTAATTTATTGAGAGTTTTTAGCATGAAGGGTTATTGAATTTTGTCAAAGGCCTTTTCTGCACCTATTGAGAAAATCATGTGGTTTTTGTCATTGGTTCTGTTTATATGCTGGATTACATTTATTGATATGCATACATCGAACCAGGCTTGCATCCCAGGGATGAAACCCACTTGATCATGTTGGATAAGATTTTTGATGTGCTGCTGGATTCGGTTTGCCAGTATTTTATTGAGGATTTTTGCATCGATGTTCATCCGGGATATTGGTCTAAAATTCTCTTTTTTTATGTGTCTCTGCCAGTCTTTGGTATCAGGATGATGCTGGCCTCATAAAATGAGTTAGGGAGGATTCCCTCTTTTTCTACTGATTGGAATAGTTTCAGAAGGAATGGCACCAGCTCCTTCTTCCTTGTACCTCTGGTAGAATTCGGCTGTGAATCCATCTGGTCCTGGACTGTTTTTGGTTGGTAAGCTATTAATTATTGCCTCAATTTCAGAGCCTGTTATTGGTCTATACAGAGATTCAACTTTCTGGTTTAGTCTTGGGACGGTGTATGTGTTGAGGAATTTATCCATTTCTTCTAGATTTTCTAGTTTAATTGCGGAGAGGTGTTTATAGTATTCTCTGATGGTAGTTTGTATTTCTGTGGGATTGGTATAGGCTCAAAATAAAGGGATGGAGGAAGATCTATCAAGCAAATGGTAAACAAAAAAAGGCAGGATTTGCAATCCTAGTCTCTGATAAAACAGACTTTAAACCAACAAAGATCAAAAGAGACAAAGAAGGCCATTACATAATGGTAAAGGGATCAATTCAACAAGAAGAGCTAACTGTCCTAAATATATATGCACTCAATACAGGAGCACCCAGATTCATAAAGTAAGTCCTTAGAGACCTACAAAGAGACTTAGACTCCCACACAATAATAATGGGAGACTTTAACACCCCACTGTCAACATTAGACAGATCAATGAGACAGAAAGTTCACAAGGATATCCAGGAATTGGACTCAGCTCTGCACCAAGTGGACCTAATAGACATCTACAGATCTCTCCACCCCAAATCAACAGAATATACATTCTTTTCAGCATCACACCACACCTATTCCAAAATTGACCACATAGTTGGAAGTAAAGCACTCCTCAGCAAATGTAAAAGAACAGAAATTATCACAGACTGTCTCTCAGACCACAGTGCAATCAAACTAGAACTCTGGATTAAGAAACTCACTCAAAACCGCTCAACTACATGGAAGCTGAACAACCTGCTCCTGAATGACTACTGGGTACATAACGAAATGAAGGCAGAAATAAAGATGTTCTTTGAAACCAACGATTACAAAGACACAACATACCAGAATCTCTGGGACACATTCAAAGTAGTGTGTAGAGGGAAATTTATAGCATTAAATGCCCACAAGAGAAAGCAGGAAAGATCTAAAATGGACACCCTAACATCACAATTAAAAGAGAAGCAAGAGCAATCACATTCAAAAGCTAGCAGAAGGCAAGAAATAACTAAGATCAGAGCAGAACTGAAGGAAATAGGGACACAAAAAACCCTTCAAAAAATCAATGAATCCAGGAGCTGATTTTTTTGAAAACATCAACGAAATTGATAGACCACTAGCAAGACTAATAAAGATGAAAAGAGAGAAGAATCAAACAGATGCAATAAAAAATGATAAAGGGGATATCACTACCCTTGTCCTCTTATGGAGGTCTTTCCTTGACCACACAAATTGATGTTGCCCCTTTCCTGTTGCTGTTTATCACATCACTCTGCCATTTTCCTTTGTTAGCATGTTAACATATAATATAAACATATAAAATTATCTTGCTTATTGTTTTAATTACTTACTGTCTTATTATCTTTCTATAACAGAAACTCCAGAAAGTTATAGAACTAATTAGTCATCTCTTTTTATGGCCCCACTGCCTAGGTCAGTGTCTGTCAATCAATAAATATGAATTCACCCCTTCCCCACCCTTGACTTCCACAGTATCTTGACACTCACCTGAATAACTGTCCTGAATTTATTTTAAAGAGGAAGATCATGGCACTTCCTTACCTATATCTCACTCTAATATGGCCATAGTCAGAATATTTAAGCACCAAATGATTTAGCACATCATATCGAGGGAAAATATTCAGTCTTCTCTATAATGGTGATAAAGCTAAGAAAAGGATGGGTTGGAGAGTAAGGATAGAGTGAAAGACAGATACATGATGAGAGTATCCACTGCATATGTTACTTGCTAATAATTATACTAGTAAGTTTAACTTAAATTACCCCCAGGAAACCGTATCTCCAAATACAGGTATACCTGAAAGACACTGTGGGTTCATTTCCAGACCACCACAATTAAGTGAATATTTCAACAAATAAAGTCACGCAAATTTTTTGGTTTCTCAGTCAGTGCCTATAAAAGCTATATTTGCACTATACTCTAGTCTAAGTGTTCACTAGCATTATATCCAAAAAATGTACATACCTTAGTGAAAAATTAAGGTATTGCTTAAAAATGCTAACAATCATTTGAGCCTTCAGTGAGTTGTAATCTTTTTGCTTGTGCAGGGTCTTGCCTCAATGCTGATGGCTGTTAATGTATGACGGTGGTGGTTGGTAAAGATTGGGATGGCTGTGGCAATTTCTTAAAAATAAGACAAATGCATAGTTTGCCCCATCATTTGACTTTTCCTTTCATGAAAAATTTCTCCACGTCATGCAATGCTCTTTGACAGCATTTTACCCACAGTAAGTCTTTTTTTTTCAAAATTAGTCAGTCCTCTTAAACCCTGCCCCTGCTTTATCAAGGATGTTTAGGTAATATTCTAAGCCCTTCATTGTAATTTCAATGATGTTCACAGCATCTTCACCAGGAGTAGGTTTCATCTTGAGAAACCACTTTCTTTGCTTGTCTATAAAAAGCAACTCCTTGCCTGTTCTAGTTTTTTTTTTTTTTGTGAGATTGCACCAATTTAGTCACATCTCCAGGCTCCACTTTGAATACCAGTTCTCTTGTTATTTCTACCATATCTGCAGACTTCCTTCACTGAATTCTTGAACCCCTAAAAGTCATCCATGAGGGCTGAAATAAATATATTTCAAATTCCTGTTAATGTTAATATTTTGACCTCCTTTCCTAAATCACAATTGTTCTTAATGGCATCTAGAATGGTAAATTATTTCCATAAGGTTTTCAGTTTACTTTGATCAGATCTATCAGAAGAATAAATATCTATGGCAGCTATACCCCACAAAATGTGTTTTATGAATAATAAGACTTGAAAGTCAGAATTACTAATTGATTCACAAGCTGGAGAATGGATGTTGTGTTATCAGTAATGAAAACATTAATCTCCATCATAACACTTGGGTGCCCAGGTACACTGTGCGCAGCAGTATTATGTAGTTTTATGAAAGAAACCTCTTTTGTCTGAGCAGTAGGTCTCAACCATGGACTTAAAATATTCAGTAAACCGTGTTTTAAACAGACGCATTGTTACCTGGGCTTTGTTGTTCCATTTATAGAGCACAGACTGAATAGATTTAGCATAATTGTGAAGGGCATTAAGATTTTCAGAATAGTAAATGAGCATTGGTTTCAACTTAATGTCACCAGCTGCATTAGCCCCTAACAACAGAATCAGCCTGTGCTTTGAAGCTTTGAAGTCAGACATTGATTTATCTCTCTAGCTATAAAAGCCCTAGATGGAATCTTCTTCCAGTGTAAGACTGTATCACCCACATTAAAAATCTATTTTTTGGTGTAGTCACTTTCATGAAATATGTTAGCTAGATCTTCTGGAAAACTTGCTGCAGCTTCCACAACAGCACTTGGTACATCACCTTGCACTTTTAATGTTACAGAGACAGCTTCTTTCCTTAAACCTCTGTTAGCTTCAAACATATTTTTCTGCAGCTTCCTCACCACTCTCAGTCTTCATAGAGTTGAAGAGAGTTAGAATTTTGTTCTGGATTAGGCTTTGGCTTAAGAGTATGTTGTGGCTGGTTTGATCGTCCATTGAGAATATTAAAACTTTCTTAATATCATCAATAAGGCTGTTCACTTATCATTTACTTGTTTTTCCTTCCAGAACTTAATGAAGCTTTGTGCAAATTTAATTTCCTTCTAGAACCTTTCCTTTACATTCACAACTTGGCTAACTGGTACAAGAGTCCTCCTTTCATCCTATCTCAACTTTTCACGTGCCTTCTTCACTAAGCTGAATCATGTCTAGCTTTTGATTTAAAATGAGAAATGTGTGACTTTTCATTTGATTTGAACACTTTACAGGTAATCATCGAGTTATTAATTGTCCTAATTTCAACATTGCATCTCAGCAAATGTGGAGGCTCAAATATGGAGAAATGGAACATGGTGAAGCATTCAGAGTACACATATTTATTGATTAAATTTGTCATCTTATATGGACATGATTCATGACACCTTCAAATAATTACAATAGTAACATCAAGATCACTATAACACATAAAATAATAAATAAATAGTTTGAAATATTCCAAGAATTACCAAAATGTATCACAGAGACCACATGCTGTTGGACAGACTTGTTGTATCCAGAGTTACCACATAACTTCAATTACAAAAAAAAATGCAATATCTGCAAAATGCAGTTAAGTGATGCTGAATAAAACAAGTATGCCTGTAGCAAAATTCAGGCTTAGGACTTTACCATGAATTTTGTGGGGAGACAATTTAGGTTATAACATTTTCATACTACACAAAGATAAACTGATGCATCTCAGTACTGTTTTTAAAATCTCAAGAGTTGAGATTCATCTTATTTTCTAATAATTTGACAAACACATAAAAGTAGGTTAATAAGAATTGCCTAAAAAAAAAAGCAATATTTATAGAAGGCTTCAGAGTGAAAACAGAGGTGCATAGAGTCATAGAAGCTTGCCCAAAGTGCACACAATTAGTGGAGAAACAAGTACACTCAGGTATTCTAAATTCAAAGTCCACCGTGTTACATCACTTTTCTGCACAAAATAATCAATGACAAATGCATAAAATGAAATCAAATAGGGCAAACCCCTTTGGATCCCCTCCCTTTGTGTGAGAGCTCCATTTTCACTCTATTTCACTCTATTAAATCTTGCAACTGCACTCTTCTGATCCATGTTTGTTACTGCTGGAGCTGAGCTGTCGCTTGCAGTCCACCATTGCTGTTTGCCGCCGTGGCGGACGCGCCGCAGCAGACTTGCTGCTGACTTCCACCCCTCTGGATCCGGCAGGGTGTCTGCTGTGCTCCTGATCCAGTGAGGCGCCCATTGCCACTCCCGATTGGGCTAAAAGCTTGCCATTGTTCCTGCATGGCAAAGTGCCCGGGTTCCTCTTAATCAAGCTGAACACTAGTCACTGGGTTCCACAGTTCTCTTCCGTGACCCACAGCTTCTAATAGAGCTATAACACTCACTGCATGGCCCAAGATTCCATTCCTTGGAATCTGTGAGGCCAAGAAGCCCAGGCCAGAGAACAGGAGGCTTGCCACCATCTTGGAAGTGGCTCGCCACCATCTTGGAAGCTCTGTGAACAAGGACCTCCAGTAACATTTTGGTGACCACGAAGGGACCTCCAAAGCATTTGTCTCTTCCAGAATCAAAGCTGCAAAACTACCAATCATTCTTCCAACGGAGCCCCAGATGCAGTCTATGACTAAGATCTACCGCGGACCCCTGGACTGGCCTGCTAGCCCATGCTCTGATGTTAATGACATCAAAGGCGCCCCTCCTGAGGAAATCTCAACTGCACAACCTCTACTACACCCCAGTTCAGCAAGAAGCAGTTACAGCGGTCGTCGGTGAACCTCCCCAACAGCACTTGGGTTTTCCTGTTGACGGGGGGGACTGAGAGACGGGACTAGCTGGATTTCCTAGGCACTCTAAGAATCCCTAAGCCTAGCTGGGAAGGTGACCGCATTCACCTTTAAACAGGGGGCTTGCAACTTAGCTCACACCCAACCAATCAGAGAGCTCACTAAAATGCTAATTAGGCAAAAACAGGAGGTAAAGAAATAGCCAATCTATTGCCTGAGAGCACAGCGGGAGGGACAAGGATCTGGATATAAACCCAGGCATTTAAGCCGGCAACGGCAACCCCCTTTGGGTCCCCTCCCTTTGTATGGGAGCTCTGTTTTCACTCTATTAAATCTTGCAACTGCAAAAAAAAAAAAAAAGATGAAATCAAATAAATAAAATGATTTTACATTCCTTTGGAAAATATTGCTTAGGTTTAAAATACAATATCACGTTTTCTCCAAAATATTAATTTATCCTGGAGGTTATTATTCAAATGTTCAAAGGTCTTTTTTGGTTAGTTTGATATATTCTATTGATTTGATTACAATATTCAACTTTGCTTGGCAAAAAATATTATTTGGATATGAATGTACTGTACTTGGTTTAAATTGATAAAGATAATTTCTCTTTCTAAAACCATGTGGAATTCTCTGCTGGTTCCACGAAATCAACGGCAAACTCTGTCCTATATCCTCTTACATTTATGTCTCCCTGGGCCAGACTTCAGTAAGGAATGTTGTCTAAATAACTCTCCCCATTATTCTTGACCAACGTTGGTTACTGAGAGTAAAAAAGTTTCCTGACACATCATCAGAATCCCAAATGCAAGTATTAAGGTTTTACATCAAAGGAGTGTAATACAACTTGGACTATGTGCTTCACAGTTTGAAAAAAAAAAGAAATGGAAAGTTTTCTCTGTTAGTCTGCAATGGTATTCTTGATGCTATAATTCCCAAATGACATAAAATGGTATATGTGATTTCCTCACAGAAAGTAAATCTTCAAAAAAATTAAATGGACCTCCTTAATAAGGTCTAAATTTAGTAAGCTCAAATGCCATGGTAGTTGATTATTGGTTCTGCCCTGAAGGAGATGAGCTTACTTTGAAGGAAAACATAATCCTCTTAATGTGTTTGCTATGTGAAATTCTAAGTATATTTAAATGAAATGATTTTAAACTCGATAGCAACTGAGAGTTTAAGTGGATTTTGTTCTAGTATCTTTCCTCTAAAGAATAAGACTGAGTTGAAATTTTAAAAACTCCTTCTCGGCATGAAGAGTAAAAGAAATAGAAATAGGCACAATTAGACAGTCCTTTGAGGATCATATCCCTTGTAATTGTTTCTTTTTTTATGAAAATGTTACTACGATTTCATTTATTTTTCTTAGAGGGCCTAATTATACCAATGAGCATTCATAACAAACAGTATTGAGCTTATGTAGCTGCACTTATACGGATCCTTAAAATGTTTAAAGGATGAACACATCTATTGTCAATTTATCTTGCTACAATAAAAGTGTTTGGTGTGTAATTTTTCTATACAAGTAACTGAGTGTACAATACAAAAGGAGAGCACAAGCAAAACAGATACAGATTCCCTATTTGTGAATATTCTAGGATAGTTGGAGGCCTACTGCATTCACAAATAACTATAGGAAATGGAAAATATGCCTGTCATAAGAAGTTTAAAAATCAAGAGAGGCGGGATGCTGAGGGAGGAGAGAGAACATCTAGCTTTATGAGTTGGATAGTTTGTGGAGTGAGTGACATTGTCATTTGGTCTTGAAAAGTAGAGAAAATGTTAGCATTTAGAGATTGTGTAGAATATGGGACATGAGTGTGAGGAACGAAAGTGGGGAAAATGAAGGTAGTTATTTCTCTTAGATGAAACAAAAGTACAAAAGTCAATTGTTCCATATTGCTTAAATTTAGGGTGAATATAGAGTTAAAACATGTTCCTTAAATTTAAGGTCAATATACAGTTAATCCATGTTGCTTCAATTTATGATGAATATAGAGTTAGAGAAATGATGTAAACTGTGGGGATAGAAAAGGTAATTTGAGGCCTGGTCTGGGGAGGAACTTGAATGCAAATATTGTCTGGTTTTGGTCTTGTGAGCAGAGAAATGGCATGATTACAGTTGTGTATTAAGAAAATTAATTAGTAAGCATAGCGCTTATGTTATTTGAGGAAAAAAAGAGCAGACTAGGTAGAAAACTATGCAGTCATCCAGGGGAAAATTAATGATAGTCTAATCTCTTGTGAAACAATAAAAATAAAGGAAAAAGAACAGCTGTGACAGACAGCACAATGCCAGAAATTTAGGTGCTTAACCACCCACTGGATATGAGGCTAACAAAGAAAAAAGGTAAAGATAATTGCAAGGATTTACATCTTATAATGAGGAGGACATTAAGTTATTTAATAATGAATAAAGAAAGAAGAGCAAGTTTGGGGAAAAAAATGATGGATTCACTTTGGAGAACATCGTCTCCATGCATTTTCTCTGCCAAACAGCAACCACCACATATAAATAGAAAACTGAACAATATTATATTTATTAATGTCATATTCTTTTTATTAAAATATATTTATTGAAGATAAACAATTATGTAATAGAAACCAGCTACAGAATATAATAATATGACTAATGAAAAAGGCATTTAATTACAAATGACATAATTACTGAAGGTTAAGAGCTATGCAATTGATATTACTTGTTATTTCCTTTTTTAAATTGTTTCAATTTTTACTTTAAGTTCTGGGATACATGTGCAGAATGTGCAGGTTTGTTACATAGGTATACATGTGCCATGGTGGTTTGCTGCACCTATCAACCTGTCATCTAGGTTTTAACCCTACATGCATTAGGTATTTGTCCTAATGCTTTCCTTCACCTTGCCCTCCACACCCTGACAGGCCCCATTGTGTGATGTTCCTCTCCCTGTGTCCATGTGTTCTCATTGTTCAACTCCCACTTATGAGTGAGAACATACAGTGTTTGGTTTTCTGTTGCTGTGTTACTTTGCTAAGAATGATGGCTTCCAGCTTCATCCATGTCCCTATAAAGGACGTGAACTCATTCTTTTTTATGGCCGCATAATACGACATGAGCTCATTCTTTTTTATGGCTGCATAAAACTCTTTTTCTTAATTAAAAAAATTGGGTTCCTTTTTCTCTCTCTCCTCTTCTTCTAAGATTCCAGTTACTGGTATATTAGAATGCTTGATTCCATGAGTTTTGAAGTATTTTTTTATTTTGATTTTTGTGGGTACATAGTACGTGTGTATATTTATGGGGTACATGACATGTTTTGATATAGACATGAAATGTGTAATAATCACATCATTGAAAATGGGGTATCCCCTCAAGCATCCTTTATGTTACAGACAGCCCAATTATACTCTTTTAGTTACTTCAAAATGTACAATTAAATCATTATTGACTATAGCACATTATTGTGCTAACAAATACTAGGTTTTATTCATTTTTTCTAGCTGATTTTTTTGACAAATACCAACAATTTGCCATTATTTTATTTCAGACCTTACTCATATGTATGATGATTTTATTATTATTATTATACTTTAAGTTCTGGGATACATGTGGAGAATGTGCAGGTTTGTTACATAGGTATACATGTGCCATGGTTGTTTCCTGCACCCGTCAACTCGTCATTAACATCAGATATTTCTCCTAATGATATCCCTCCCCTAGTTCTGATCCTCCAACAGGCCCCAGTGTGCGATATTCCCCTCCCTGTGTCCATGTGTTCACATTGTTCACCTCCTACTTATGAGTGAGAACATGCAGTGTTTGGTTTTCTGTTCTTAAAGTATATGAAAGAGCAAAAGAGTAATTATGGTCACAGCTGTTAATGATTCATGGGCTACTATGTTGTAGGCAGTCCTCATGATCACTTAACCATGGTAACTGAAACTTCTACATAGAGTAGCAATGACTTTGCTTTGCATGGCTCTGATGTGCATGAATCTCTCTTAACACAGCACCGTGAAAAGTGAGGTCTGCCTGTATAAGGGTACATTACAGCAATTACAGACATTTTTTGGTATATATACATATATATATATATAGCCTTTTAATTAATTAATTAACAACATAACATAACTTGCCAAAGGGAGGTTAACTAGTGGACAGGAAGTATGTATTTCCCTACCAAAATCAAGTGGGAAATAAGGAAGAGTACATTTTTGTATTTTTTTTCCATTCCAGGATTTCTATACATTCATAATGTCCTAATACTCTTTGTGGTGCATTTACTATCTGCTAATGCATTTCACATTACATTAGGTCATATGTTTTTCATAGCAGTCTTGTATAGTAAGTATTGTTACCTCCATCTTAACAACACGAACATTTGGAGACAGAGACATAAAGCAAGTTGCCTGATGTCACATGCCTGTAAAATGGATGGTCCATGATTGAATTCATGTTCATATTCATTTCATAGCCCACAATTAAACAACAATTGCCTTGCACTCCTTTTTGTTCCTAAAGGGACAAAATTATTTCACTTCTTAGGGTAAAAACAAGACAAGTCAACTTTGGAGACAAGTCAACTGCTATTTAATCTGGCATCATATTTGAAGTTTTTTTCCCCCAAAGGCACCAACAATGTCCAGATTTTGTCACCATAAACTGTGGCTAGTAGGCTGACTCCAAAGAATGCTCAGGGTGGCATTTTGGTACTTTGATAAATTTGTCCAGTCCTGGATCTGCCCTTGAGCCTTGGATGCTCAGGAACTGGGCTTTGTTAATGTAATCTGAACTGAGTTAATACCTTTATCAGGAATGGGTGGGCAAGAGGCATACACTGAGTCCAAGAGATTTTTATGTGAAACCACAATCCCAGATTATTGATTTATAATGAGATATTGCTATTAAATGACTTTATTTTTCTGACAGGCAGACCAATGTGAAAAATGTCAGAAGACAACTTAATAATCATGAAATCAGAATTAAGGGAGTTTGATGAATCCAATATTTAATATTATTTGTTGGCATAAATTTATTTAACTATTTCATAGAAGGAAGAGCCTACCAAGGAAACATGATTTTAAAGACCCAGTGCCTTCCCTGTGTGTTCAAATGGATATTGGGGCCTTTTACTTCTATACTTCCATATTTTCTCTGTTTTCATGACTGACCTATCTCTCTTCAAATATTATCTTTCCGATATGTTAATCTCTTCAATCATCTCTTAACAGAGTCTTGATGAATATATGTTGATTTTGAAGTACAATTCTCAGATTTCAACTCTTTAGTCTATTATAGAATGGTCTTCACAACCGGATCTAACCTGTACTTACACTTGCACTCTTACATTACCCACAAAAAAATTTTTGTACTATAACATTTTGTTTATTAGGGAATTTACAAGCTCCATTTGGATGTCTTAGAGGAATTCCATACTCAACAGGTACAAATAAAAACTTGTTGTTTTCTGTCCCACCTGCCCGAGATTTCCAGTGTGCATTTCAACAGTAACTAACCACCATCCATTAAGCTTCACATGCCTTAAACCTGGAAGTCTTCTTCGACAATATATTCTGTCATCCTTAACACCTTCCCCACTGCCATTAATTTTCCAACACATATATCTTAAATGGCAACACTATTTGAGTTGCTGGAAAAACAGCAGTTCAATCCAAGGAAGTTCCTTGCAATTATTAGGTTTATATTATAGTAGGGGAGTATAGACAGACAGACTTAAAGAATTAAAACAAAAATATAATGTGATCAGTTGGTAAATGCCAGTTCCTTAAATAAAACTCAATAAGAGAATAGGAATATATATGAGAAGAGAGTGCTTTATAATTTGGGTTGCCAGGGAAGACTGCTCTGATAAATTATCAACCTTTCTTAAGAAATTATATATTGATGTTGACTTTTATTCTTAAATCTTGATCATTTTGGTCTACTTTCTGTCTTCAGAGTCAACACAGTACATAGCCTCCATGAAATTGAATCTTTCAGCACTCCTATTACTAAGTACAAAGAACACAACCTACCACAGTCCCAGTTGCTGCACCCCAAAATCTATTACCCCATCCATACTTAGGCTAAACATCCCAGGGACTGCTGCCAGGCAGTGACTAAGTACTACAGGGACTGCATGTGTAGGCCCGTTCCTGAAAGACAACGGATTCACCTGAAAGTAAACTCCAGAGCTTCCCATTATTCATGTCGAAATGCCACCTAAGACTTTTCCACTCAGATTTTTTCCTTCCCTCTCTCCCTCACAAAGGTCAGACCTGTGTGGTGATCCAATGACTCCCAGGCTTCTCCACATTTTCCTGCATATCTAATCTCTGCTTCTCTGAGGGCCTGGACTAAGACATCATATTTGAGTTTCCCCCTACCTTCTCTCTGGTCCTTCTTTTCATCCTTTATTTCCCACAATGAAAATCTTATGTTACCACTGCTACTTAGAATCCTGTAGTTTCATTCTGTTGCTCTTCAGATATAAATTCAAGTCCATAAAAGGGCATCCAATGCTCAGTATGGTGGTGCTTGCTGTCCATGCCTAAACTCCATCTCATGTTCCTCTCCTTCTTAATTACCCTGTTTCAACTAACCTACCCTTCTTTTGTTCTGTGAAGATATTGTGCTTTTACTTAGCTGACAAAATCCTGTACATTTTCTATTCCCTTTGCCGGACCACTAATTTCTCCCACTGATTTGGGGCAGTTCACTCATTTTTCATACAGTTCTCCTATTCAGACCTGCTCTGATCACCATTTTTCCCTCATCTAAGTCAGTCTTCTTTATTTTGTTCTTCCAACTTTCCTAATAAGCATTTACACATCCATTAACATGATTGCTTTCAGATAATTTGCCTCAGTTTGAAATTATGCATTTATTAGTGTGATTATTTGATTAATGCCTACTTTCCCTACTGGGCTATAAGTTCATCTTTTTATCCTCATTGTATTCACAGCATTTATCTCAGTATCTGTCCTAAAGGAGGCATATAATAAGTAAGTATTAAATAAAAGGATAAATGAACAATGTTTCTTTCTAGGAAGTATGATTAAACAGTGTAGCATCTTAAAACTCAATTTTTCTCAATTCTAAGTAACTGAAATGGGAATTAAAAGTACATGAGAATATAATAGTAGAAAATGGATATAAATGTTAAGACTGTATACCAAACTGCAAAGACATATAACAGGTTTCATATGTATTGAGCACATACTATATGATAGGCACTACTAAGGACTCTGCGAGCATTAACTTATTTAATTCCTACTATCCCAAAGAATGCTTATATAATGTCCTTGTTTCTGATGAAGATCCTGAGGTGAGAAAGGACAAGTTATTTACCAGTGGTTACTACATGGCAGAGACAGGCTTGGGTATAGGTGTGTTTGAAACCAGACACACTCTCCTCATTACTGCACTATATAGACTCTTTTAAAGAAATTTTGTGTTTTCCAATTATGCTTGAAGACTTTGAGGGAATATAAAAACACTTCTACTTTGGGAAAACCTTTTAGAAGCACAATATGCTTTAACTTGCTTGTGAATTGTGGCACACACCACAAGGTGTTTCACACTGCTATTCTATAAAAATCAGCTTGGTTGTTTCTGCAAGCCACTTCTCTGCACAGCTGAGCCCCCTGGGCTACTTTGCACAGCATCCTGGGCATAAGCCTAATTTAGCTTTGAACAGATTTTATTAGTGTTTTCTGTTCATTTGTCTGTCCCTCTTTTGACTATGAATTCTTTTAGGGGGAGTCATGATGTCTTCATGAGAGCCAACATTTATTAAGGCTTTTATTGGGCCACATGTTATGTTAAACACTTTAATAAACTCAAATAATTCTACCAATGACACTAGCTATGAGGTAAGTACTATCAAATCTAAAATTCATAAGCCTAAAATAAGAAAGCCAGTAAGTAGCTGGGGCAAAGTTTCATTTGAAGTTTTTTTCATTTTAGAATTAATTCTCTCACCCACTTACTAGAGTAGAGCAGTTCTTCAGGTTTTCAAAAATAACCACATACGTCTGTCACTTAGTAAGCACATAGTAGTTTCTCATTTTCTTTCTCTCTCTTTGTTTCTCTTTATGTATTTTACTTCTCTCCCTTCCCCTCCTTTCCCTCCTCTGTGTGTGTGTGTGTGTGTGTGTGTGTGTGTGTGTGTGTGAGAGAGAGAGAGTGAGAGAGAGAGATTTTTAATTCAACTTTTTCTTGTAATTTCCTACCAAGGGGACGAATCTGGAAAACTTAAAGTAGAACCAACAAAGAATGCTCAAATATTAAAAAATCAGAGGAAAACAAACTTTAAAGATGAAATATTAGTATTAAAAATACAGGTCGATTGACTAGAAAAATATATAGGTACTTAAAATTATTAAGCCAATTATCTGAGGAAAAAAGCCATTTTTTTCTGGCAAGCTTTCCACTTCATGAAAGAGAAACCTAGGAAATCACTGACATGCATTGGTTTTTACTTTTAAGATCAGTTTAGATTGGAAATTGGTTTTAAATTAAATACTTGTTGGAGTTTAAGGCTTCTGATAGTGTGTTGCTGTTTGCAACACTCTTAGTATGTTTCTGATTTTTATTTCACTTATCCTATATTTTAGCAAGTTGAACATTATGTGGATATAAAGGCTATTGGAAAAGACTTAGGATAATGTCCTTTTCCCTCTCCTAGAAACAAACATAATCGATGTGACTGTATTAGCAGAAAAAAACAGACACTTAGATGCAGACACTTAGATGTTCTTGTTCTAACATCATGTTCTTTATATCATTATGACCAGTGAGATCAATAGTTTATTGCAGGAAGAATTTCTCATCAGTGTCCCTTACAAATGACAATTCTTGGGATGTAAAGTGTTGAGATATTTCCTGTCTCCTTCATTTATTAGTGAGCTGATTCTAGAATGAATGATTTCAGTAAGTGATAGATTTTCCTTCATAAATTTTTATTACTTTTTTCCTTCTGGTGAAGAATTTCCAATATTTGTCAAGTAAATGAAAACTTTAAAAAAGAAGCTTGTCTTACAGTTTAAATAAATCAGTCTTATGATGTAGCTAATTATGAGGTCTATTTGTGTACATCTCTTCAAAAACTAGCATCCACTGATCAGTGGTAGACTAAAGGCAGGGAAATGCTCCAGGTTGCTGAAATATCTGAGAGCAATAAAAAATTTCCTCTGAGGGAACTTATATGAAAAAGGATTATAATACAGTATAGTCAGAGTAAGTGGGAACAAATGACATGGTGTTCTGGCATGTCATGTCATGTAGGAATGGCATACACAGAACCACTCCTACGTGAAGGACTGCGTACCAAGCCCTGACGGAGATACTTAAAGGAATCATGTCACTAGGCAGAACAATGCTGAATTGGTCTATTCTACATGTTTTTAGTGTATTTCCAGTATGATGCACTTCCAGGAAAATTAATAGCTATAAAGAAATCATAAGTGGTGAGTTTATTTGGTTATTTGATAGGCGAAGCTGACAAGGTAGAAATGCTAGAGTAGTATCCTCATGTCTGTAATCTTTTTTTTTTCTTGACAGGGTATGGGTGCTTTAAATACCAGTAAGATAAGAATCTCCTGATCCTTTGAGAAATATCTATGTATACTTGGAATCCACAAGGATGGACAATTCCACCTAGTATTTATGATGGTTACCGGAAATTGTGCCGCTTTAAAACTTAGGAGGTAGGCATCATTTCTATCTAATTTCAAAAACTGGCCAGAGGATTAGCAACAAGGCAACTTCTTACATTTTGTGGAGGTCAGACATTCCCAGTTACTGAAGGTTAAGGGGACATAATACAAAAAATAAGAGTTGATATGTCAAGTGAAAACACTGCAATGTAATAAAGATATTTGTGTGTATGCGTGTGTGTATTCAGTGTATCAAGCATATATTCAAATACCAAGAAACTATATACTTCCTGTTGAACTGTCAAATCATTCTGGAAAGAAATCTTCCAAAGTCAAAATGTCAAAAGATGATGATATAATACTAGTGATGGTATTCATCTAGAAAGGACCAAATATGTTGTTAGTACCCTTTAGATGCTTCCATAAGCAAGTAAAAAAAATCACTTCAAATATTGTCATGAAAATTGGACAGCATAACCTCTGTTTTCATTCTCCATGACTGGAAAATAAATATTTATAGCTCTATAGTGATGTATCATAGATAACAAGTTTTTCATTATAAATGACCTTAGGAATGACCAGATCTTCATTTGTGAGCTAGGGAAAAAAATGAAAGTTAAAGAGATCAAGTGACTTGCTCAAGGTCATCACATAGATCTTTACAGATGGGAGAAGAGAACAGCTGTGTTTTATTTTTTGTTTGTGTATTTTTTTTATTATTATTATACTTTAAGTTTTAGGGTACATGTGCACATTGTGCAGGTTAGTTACATATGTATACATGTGCCATGCTGGTGCGCTGCACCCACTAACTCATCATCTAGCATTAGGTATATCTCCCAATGCTATCCCTCCCCCCTCCCCCCACCCCACCACAGTCCCCAGAGTGTGATATTCCCCTTCCTGTGTCCATGTGATCTCATTGTTCAATTCCCACCTATGAGTGAGAATATGCGGTGTTTGGTTTTTTGTTCTTCAGATAGTTTACTGAGAATGATGATTTCCAATTTCATCCATATCCCTACAAAGGACATGAACTCATCATTTTTTATGGCTGCATAGTATTCCATGGTTTATATGTGCCACATTTTCTTAATCCAGTCTATCGTTGTTGGACATTTGGGTTGGTTCCAAGACTTTGCTATTGTGAATAATGCTGCAATAAACATACGTGTGCATGTGTCTTTATAGCAGCATGATTTATAGTCATTTGGGTATATACCCAGTAATGGGATGGCTGGGTCAAATGGTACATCTAGTTCTAGATCCCTGAGGAATCACCACACTGACTTCCACAATGGTTGAACTAGTTTACAGTCCCACCAAGAGTGTAAAAGTGTTCCTATTTCTCCACATCCTCTCCAGCACCTGTTGTTTCCTGACTTTTTAATGATTGCCATTCTAACTGGTGTGAGATGGTATCTCATAGTGGTTTTGATTTGCATTTCTCTGATGGCTAGTGATGATGAGCATTTTTTCATGTGTTTTTTGGCTGCATAAATGTCTTCTTTTGAGAAGTGTCTGTTCATATCCAGCACCCACTTTCTGATGGGGTTGTTTGATTTTTTCTTGTAAATTTGTTTAAGTTCTTTGTAGATTCTGGATATTAGCCCTTTGTCAGATGGGTAGATTGTAAAAATTTTCTCCCATTCTGCAGGTTGCCTGTTCACTCTGATGGTAGTTTCTTTTGCTGTGCAGAAGCTCTTTAGTTGAATTAGATCTCATTTGTCAATTTTGGCTTTTGTTGCCATTGCTTTTGGTGTTTTGGACATGAAGTCCTTGCCCATGCCTATGTCCTGAATGGTAATGCCTAGGTTTTCTTCTAGGGTTTTTATGGTTTTAGGTCTAACGTTTAAGTCTTTAATCCATCTTGAATTGATTTTTATATAAGGTGTAAGGAAGGGATCCAGTTTCAGCTTTCTACATATGGCTAGCCAGTTTTCCCAGAACCATTTATTAAATAGGGAATCCTTTCCCCATTGCTTGTTTTTCTCAGGTTTGCCAAAGATCAGATAGTTGTAGGTATGCGGCGTTATTTCTGAGGGCTCTGTTCTGTTCCATTGATCTATAGCTCTGTTTTGGTACCAGTAACATGCTGTTTTGGTTACTGTAGCCTTGTAGTATAGTTTGAAGTCAGGTAGTGTGATGCCTCCAGCTTTGTTCTTTTGGCTTAGGATTGACTTGGCGATGCGGGCTCTTTTTTGGTTCCATATGAACTTTAAAGTAGTTTTTTCCAATTCTGTGAAGAAAGTCATTGGTAGCTTGATGGGGATGGCATTGAATGTATAAATTACCTTGGGCAGTATGGCCATTTTCACGATATTGATTCTTCCTGCCCATGAGCATGGACTGTTCCTCCATTTGTTTGTATCCTCTTTTATTTCCTTGAGCAGTGGTTTGTAGTTCTCCTTGAAGAGGTCCTTCATATCCCTTGTAAGTTGGATTCCTAGGTATTTTATTCTCTTTGAAGCAATTATGAATGGGAGTTCACTCATGATTTGGCTCTCTGTTTGTCTGTTGTTGGTGTATAAGAATGCTTGTGATTTTTGTACATTGATTTTGTATCCTGAGTCTTTGCTGAAGTTGCTTATCAGCTTAAGGAGATTTTGGGCTGAGACAGTGGGGTTTTCTAGATATACAATCATGTCGTCTGCAAACAGGGACAATTTGACTTCCTCTTTTCCTAATTGAATACACTTTATTTCCTTCTCCTGCCTGATTGCCCTGGCCAGAACTTCCAACACTATGTTGAATAGGAGCGGTGAGAGAGGGCATCCCTGTCTTGTGCCAGTTTTCAAAGGGAATGCTTCCAGTTTTTGCCCATTCAGTATGATATTGGCTGTGGGTTTGTCATAGATAGCTCTTATTATTATGAAATACGTCCCATCAATACCTAATTTATTGAGAGTTTTTAGCATGAAGAGTTGTTGAATTTTGTCAAAGGCTTTTTCTGCATCTATTGAGATAATCATGTGGTTTTTGTCTTTGGCTCTGTTTATATGCTGGATTACATTTATTGATTTGCGTATATTGAACCAGCCTGGCATCCCAGGGATGAAGCCCACTTGATCATGGTGGATAAGCTTTTTGATGTGCTGCTGGATTCGGTTTGCCAGTATTTTATTGAGGATTTTTGCATCAATGTTCATCAAGGATATTGGTCTAAAATTCTCTTTTTTGGTTGTGTCTCTGCCCGGCTTTGGTATCAGAATGATGCTGGCCTCATAAAATGAGTTAGGGAGGATTCCCTCTTTTTCTATTGATTGGAATAGTTTCAGAAGGAGTGGTACCAGCTCCCCCTTGTACCTCTGGTAGAATTCGGCTGTGAATCCATCTGGTCCTGGACTCTTTTTGGTTGGTAAATTATTGATTATTGCCACAATTTCAGCTCCTGTTATTGGTCTATTCAGAGATTCAACTTCTTCCTGGTTTAGTCTTGGGAGAGTGTATGTGCCAAGGAACGTATCCATTGCTTCTAGATTTTCTAGTTTGTTTGTGTAGAGGTGTTTGTAGTATTCTCTGATGGTAGTTTGTATTTCTGTGGGATCGGTGGTGATATCCCCTTTATCATTTTTTATTGTGTCTATTTGATTCTTCTCTCTTTTTTTCTTTATTAGTCTTGCTAGTGGTCTATCAATTTTGTTGATCCTTTCAAAAAACCAGCTCCTGGATTCATTAATTTTTTGAAGGGTTTTTTGTGTCTCTATTTCCTTCAGTTCTGCTCTGATTTTAGTTATTTCTTGCCTTCTGCTAGCTTTTGAATGTGTTTGCTCTTGCTTTTCTAGTTCTTTTAATTGTGATGTTAGGGTGTCCATTTTGGATCTTTCCTGCTTTCTCTTGTGGGCATTTAGTGCTATAAATTTCCCTCTACACACTGCTTTGAATGCGTCCCAGAGATTCTGGTATGTTGTGTCTTTGTTCTCATTGGTTTCAAAGAACATCTTTATTTCTGCCTTCATTTCGTTATGTACCCAGTAGTCATTCAGGAGCAGGTTGTTCAGTTTCCATGTAGTTGAGTGGCTTTAAGTGAGATTCTTAATCCTGAGTTCTAGTTTGATTGCACTGTGGTCTGAGAGATAGTTTGTTATAATTTCTGTTCTTTTACATTTGCTGAGGAGAGCTTTACTTCCAACTATGTGGTCAATTTTGGAATAGGTGTGGTGTGGTGCTGAAAAAAATGTATATTCTGTTGATTTGGGGTGGAGAGTTCTGTAGATGTCTATTAGGTCTGCTTGGTGCAGAGCTGAGTTCAATTCCTGGGTATCCTTGTTGACTTTCTGTCTCGTTGATCTGTCTAATGTTGACAGTGGGGTGTTAAAGTCTCCCATTATTAATGTGTGGGAGTCTAAGTCTCTTTGTAGGTCACTCAGGACTTGCTTTATGAAACTGCGTGCTCCTGTATTGGGTGCATATATATTTAGGATACTTAGCTCTTCTTGTTGAATTGATCCCTTTACCATTATGTAATGGCCTTCTTTGTCTCTTTTGATCTTTGTTGGTTTAAAGTCTGTTTTATCAGAGACTAGGATTGCAACCCCTGCCTTTTTTTGTTTTCCATTTGCTTGGTAGATCTTCCTCCATCCTTTTATTTTGAGCCTATGTGTGTCTCTGCACGTGAGATGGGTTTCCTGAATACAGCACACTGATGGGTCTTGACTCTTTATCCAATTTGCCAGTCTGTGTCTTTTAATTGGAGCATTTAGTGCATTTAAATTTAAAGTTAATATTGTTATGTGTTAATTTGATCCTGTCATTATGATGTTAGCTGGTGATTTTGCTCGTTAGTTGATGCAGTTTCTTCCTAGTCTTCATGGTCTTTACATTTTGGCATGAGTTTGCAGCGGCTGGTACCGGTTGTTCCTTTCCATGTTTAGCGCTTCCTTCAGGAGCTCTTTTAGGGCAGGCCTGGTGGTGACAAAATCTCTCAGCATTTGCTTGTCTGTAAAGTATTTTATTTCTCCTTCACTTATGAAGCTTAGTTTGGCTGGATATGAAATTCTGGGTTGAAAATTCTTTTCTTTAAGAATGTTGAATATTGGCCCCCTCTCTCTTCTGGCTTGTAGGGTTTCTGCCGAGAGATCCGCTGTTAGTCTGACGGGCTTCCCTTTGAGGGTAACCCGACCTTTCTCTCTGGCTGCCCTCAACATTTTTTCCTTCATTTCAACTTTGGTGAATCTGACAATTATGTGTCTTGGAGTTGCTCTTCTCAAGGAGTATCTTTGTGGTGTTCTCTGTATTTCCTGAATGTGAACGTTGGCCTGCCTTGCTAGATTGGGGAAGTTCTCCTGGATAATACCCTGCAGAGTGTTTTCCAACTTGGTTCCATTCTCCCCATCACTTTCAGGTACACCAATCAGACGTAGATTTGGTCTTTTCACATAGTCCCATATTTCTTGGAGGCTTTGCTCATTTCTTTTTATTCTTTTTTCTCTAAACTTCCCTTCTCACTTCATTTCATTCATTTCATCTTCCATTGCTGATACCCTTTCTTCCAGTTGATCGCATCATCTCCTGAGGCTTCTGCATTCTTCATGTAATTCTTGAGCCTTGGTTTTCAGCTCCATCAGCTCCTTTAAGCACTTCTCTGTATTGGTTATTCTAGTTATACATTCTTCTAAATTTTTTTCAAAATTTTCAACTTCTTTGCCTTTGGTTTGAATGTCCTCCCGTAGCTCAGAGTAATTTGATCGTCTGAAGCCTCCTTCTCAGCTCGTCAAAGTCATTCTCCATCCAGCTTTGTTCCGTTGCTGGTGAGGAACTGTGTTCCTTTGGAGGAGGAGAGGTGCTCTGCATTTTAGAGTTTCCAATTTTTCTGTTCTGGTTTTTCCCCATCTTTGTGGTTTTATCTACTTTTGGTCTTTGATGATGGTGATGTACAGATGGGTTTTCGGTGTGGATGTCCTTTCTGTTTGTTAGTTTTCCTTCTAACAGACAGGACCCTGAGCTGCAGGTCTGTTGGAATACCCTGCCATGTGAGGTGTTAGTGTGCCGCTGCTGGGAGGTGCCTCCCAGTTAGGCTGCTCATGGGTCAGGGGTCAGGGACCCACTTGAGGAGGCAGTCTGCCTGTTCTCAGATCTCCAGCTGCGTGCTGGGAGAACCACTGCTCTCTTCAAAGCTGTCAGACAGGGACATTTAAGTCTGCAGAGGTTACTGCTGTCTTTTTGTTTGTCTGTGCCCTGCCCCCAGAGGTGGAGCCTACAGAGGCAGGCAGGCCTCCTTGAGCTGTGGTGGGCTCCACCAAGTTCGAGCTTCCCGGCTGCTTTGTTTACCTAAGCAAGCCTGGGCAATGGCGGGCGCCCCTCCCCCAGCCTCGCTGCCGCCTTGCAGTTTGATCTCAGACTGCTGTGCTAGCAATCAGTGAGATTCCGTGGGTGTAGGACCCTCCGAACCAGGTGTGGGATATAGTCTCATGGTGCGCCGTTTTTTAAGCCGGTCTGAAAAGCGCAATATTCGGGTGGGAGTGACCCGATTTTCCAGGTGCGTCCGTCACCCCTTTCTTTGACTCGGAAAGGGAACTCCCTGACCCCTTGCGCTTCCCAGGTGAGGCAATGCCTCTCCCTGCTTTGGCTCGCGCACGGTGCGCACACCCACTGGCCTGCGCCCACTGTCTGGCACTCCCTAGTGAGATGAACCCGGTACCTCAGATGGAAATGCAGAAATCACCCGTCTTCTGCGTCGCTCATGCTGGGAGCTGTAGACCAGAGCTGTTCCTATTCAGCCATCTTGGCTCCTCCCCCCTGTGTATTTGTTTTTAGTTAGTTTGGTGTTTCCTTTTATACTACAATATGCCAAACAATTTTCAAGGTGGTAAAATGTTTTTGTTCATTTAGGAATGTAAGAAATGCTGTGATTAACACAAAACTACTCATTTAAATTGTTTATAATTCCAAAAATAAATAATACATATACATTTTGGAACAGATTCAATGAGAATATGTAGCTAAGTACTTGATGCAAAGGTCCTACCCTGCTCCGGTGACTTACAAATAGAGTAATCCTTCGTTTTTAGTTAAAGAATGTATGGATAAGTATAGGGGTAGCAATTTGGTTACACAAGTGCACAGATCAACAATTAGGTGTTTATCTACTAGTTATTATTTGGAGCCTTATATGGTTTAGCTGTGTCCCCACCCAAATCTTATCTTGAATTGTAGTTTCCATAATCCCCATGTCATGGGAAGGACCAGGTGGAGATAATTGTATCTTGGGGGATGGTTCCCCCATCCTGTTCTCATGATAGTGAGTTCTCATGAGATCTGATGGTTTTGTAAGGGGCTTTACCCCCTTTTGCTCTGCACTTCTTCTTGCTGCCATGTGAAGAACGTGTTTGCTTTCCCATCCACTATGATTGTAAGTTTCCTGAGGCATCCCTAGTCATGCTGAACTGTGAGTCAATTAAACCTCTTTCCTTTATAAATCACCCAGTCTTGGGTATGTCTTTATTAACAGTGTGAGAATGGACTAACACAGAACTCTTATATTAAAAAGACTATGTAAGGGTGAAGATTGGGTGATATAAGCTATATTTATTTCTGCCTGTGATATTTACAGTACACTAAAGAGTGGCAATGTCTTTAATTTCTCAAGTATTTATGAAATACCAATATGCTTATCTTGTTTGTTCTAAGATATATGCACAAAATTCCCTTTGATTTATATGGTACTAAGTGTGTCTATAAAATAGGGAACTAATGTGTTGTTCTTTCATATCTTCTCTTGACCAATGTAGAAAATGCATTTAAAAACACCTGTGAGCTAATAGATAGATACTGGACTCCAAAAGTATACTATTATTTATAAAGGACTAAAAGATAGATTAACTAGTCATATAGTTATTCTATAAAATGACTCTGCATTTCTCTTTGAAGGATGGGTTTCTTTGGATCAAGGTCATGGGCAAAGCAACATGAGGAAAATTCTTTTGCAGATGCTTGCTCTGTGCAGGCATACGGAAAATAAGCAGATGCCTTCAATTTGCAGTGTCATTACTTACCCCATTCCTGACATTGTCCTAGCACGCACATACCATGAGCAGCACAAGAGCTATATTCCCACATGACTGATATTTGAACTACAGTATGTCAACATAGATTTGGAGAAAAAGGTGTTGGTTGATAGATGGCATGTATGCATTTTAAGTAAAGATGAGTAGGTACTCACCGCAGTTTCCTTAGGGTAACTGAACCTCCCTGGCTTCTTCTTTTGTTTTTTAAAGAAACATTATCCAAACTGTTCAAGACAAAAGCTGATATCATTTTTTTAATGGAGCTTGGCCAACTATATAGATCATGTTGGTCACATGACAATGAAAAGTCATAATAATTTTCACTGGACTTTTAAAGTAAATTTATTTTTAATTGACGAATAACAATTGTGTATGGTTTATGGGGTACAACATATTTTGTCTATGTATACAATGTAGAAGAGTCAATTAAACTAATTAATATATCTGTCATCTCACCAACCTATTTTTTGTGGTTAATATGTTAAACATCTATTCTTGGAGGTTCCACAAAAATAAAAATAGAATTATAACACAAATCTAATAACCCCATTGCTGGGTATATATCCACAGAAGATATCAGTATGTCAAAGAGATAACTGCACTCCCGTGTTCATTTCCGTGTTATTCACAGTAGCCAAGATATGGAAACAACCTAAGTGTCCATCACTGGCAGAATGGATAAAGAAAATGTAGTACATATACACAATAGAATGTTTGCCAGATTTTGATACAATTTGTCTACACATGAAAAAGGAAAGTATTGGGGATTTGGAGGAATTCTCCACAAAAATATAACAAAGAAGATTTTTGACCAGAGATATCAAGTTTTCTTTCATGTGACTCTGGTTATAGATTACATAATGTAAGCCATTCTGTGACTACTTTTCTCCCTGAGTAATACAAAATATTTGTAAAGTACAAAATTGTCTTCACTTCTCAGTTCAGTGCCAGGGATATATGGATGCCTTCATGTTAATCTGTGCCACTTTTTATTAATAGAAATTAAAAGTTTGCCATGATGTCACATGCAAGATCAGTGAAAATGTTTTTTATTTTTTATGGGAGCAGTACTTTCTGTGATATGTTTATAGAGTTTAAAAACTAGTTTTAATAAATTTTATTGATGTAACTTTTAAGTAAAAGGCACCAACTTTGAGGATACAGTTTTAAGAATTTTAGCAAATATAGATACCCATATAACAACTGCAATTGGTTTTAACAGGGAAATGTATGCATGTATAGGATGAGAATATGTATTCTTACCTGGTGAGGTTAAAAAATATCAGATAAAAGATCCAGGACCTTTTCATCTAGAACCCATGGATCCAAGGAAGGCATCCATGGAGGAAATTACAGCTCTCAGAAGAGGCCCTGAAATTATACACAAAAGTATCATGGGAATATACATGTGTATTTTTCAGACAAAAGTATTAATAACTTCCATCAGAATATCATTAATGCCTCTGATCCTGTAAAATTTCAAACTCACTGAAATGGTTGAGATTTGTGTCCCCACCCAAATCTCATGTCAAATTGTAATCCCCAATGTTGGAGTAGGGGCCTGGTGGGAGGTGATTGGATCATGGGACCAGATTTCCCTTTTGCTGTTCTCACGTTACTGAGTTCTCATGAGTTCTGGTTTTTAAAAATGTGCAGCAATTTCCCATGCTCTCTCTGTTTCTCATTATCTAGCCACCTAAGACTTGTCTGCTTTCCCTTCACGTTCCACCATGATTGTAAGTTTTCTGTGGCCTTCCCAGCCATGTTTTCTATACAGCCTGTGGAACCGAGTCAATTAAGCCTCTTTTCTTTATAAAGTATGCAGTCTCAAGTATTTCTTTATAGCAATGTGAGGATGAACTAAATACACTCACTAAAATTAGCTTAAAAGCATCATGAAAATAAATACATTTTGAACTCTTTAAACGTCTCTTTCATGCTCTGGCTTGTAGCAATATCTCTTTCCCTTGAACTTATTCCTAATATTACTCATAAATAATTCTCAATAGTGTTCAAAAATTACTCACAAAACACATATTAAGTGTATTAGTCTGGTGTCACACTGCTGTAAAGATAGTAGCTGAGACTGATAATTTATAAATAAAAGAGGTTTAATTGACTCACAGTTCTGCATGTCAATGGGGAGGCCTCAGGAAACTTACAATCATGGCCAAAGGGGAAGAGGCACATCTTACATGGTGGCAGCTGAGAGACAGCGAGCAAGAGCAGGGAAATCTGCCTTATAAAACCATCAGATCTCATAAGAACTCACTCATTATCATGAGAAAATCATGGGGGTAGGTGCCCTCATGATCCAATCATCTCCCACCTGGCCCTTCCCTCAACAGGTGGGTATTGTGGGGATTACAATTCAACATGAGATTTGTCTTGGGACACAGAGTCAAACCATGTCATTAAGTTTCTAATATATGCAAAGCACATGGCTTTAAATTGTAGAGATAAAAAATAGAAAATACCCCCCTTTAAAACGAAACAAAACACAAACATCACAGCCTAGGAAACCTTTTAACATACCTACTATTGTTCTTTGACAAATATATTAATTGAATGATCATGCTTGTTGCAATCATAACAAGATTGAGAGTTAATTGAGATCAAGAGTTAAACCAGACATTGACCATTGTTTGTGTTACAAATGGGTATAAAAACAATTTTGGAAATTTGTTTAGCTTTAAGGACAGGGATATATATTCATATCTCTCTGAAGACTTCCCCACATCTAGAGCACTACATCGCATAATGATTACTGAATTAAAATAAATGTAATTTGATTTCTGACTCTTGCTATTTGTTGTTAATGATGGATCAATTTAGTTACATTATGAAGCAAGTATATTTTGATCATGAGTTGTATTACTTCAGAGGAGGAATGAGATCTTTGCCTAGTGATGCTTGTAAGATAATCTTCAAATTTTCTCTCTATAAATGGATATAAAGAATTGGGGGCACAAACTAAGGAAGAATGGCTGTTCACCCAAGAAATATTTTCTTGTGGCTTACGTTCTTTCTGTTATCTAGTTCTGTTTTTGTTTTTTGGTTTTTTTTGTTTTTTTTTTTTTTGAGACGGAGTCTTGCTTTTTTGCTCAGGCCAGAGTGCAGTGGCGCTATCTCGGCTCACTGCAAGCTCTGCCTCCTGGGTTCATGCCATTCTCCTGCCTCAGCCTCCCGAGTAGCTGGGACTACAGGCGCCCGCCACTGTGCCCGGCTAATTGTTTGTATTTTTAGTAGAGACAGTGTTTCACCGTATTAGGCAGGATGGTCTCGATCTCCTGACCTCGTGATCCACCCGTCTTGGCCTCCCAAAGTGCTGTGATTACAAGCGTGAGCCACCACACCCGGCCTCTGTTATCTAGTTTTTAAAAGCAAATATTAGACCAATTTTCAAGGACCTCATGTAAGTCTTAACAAAATATTTTGTAAAAAGAAAGAAGAAATTGTATACTTACATTGAATTTGCTCTGGGGATGTGAGAGGTGGGAGGAAGGGAGAAGAGCAAAAGTTGAAAAAACCTCCTGTTGGGTACTATGCTCACCACTTAGGTGACAGATTCATTCATGCTCCAAACCTCAGCATCATGCACTGTACTTTTAACAAACATGCACATGTACCCCTGATTCTAAAATACAGGATAAAAAATAAATAAAATTACAATAAATTATTTTTAAAATGATATGCTTCCTTTATGATCTTCCTTGGAAGTTTGGGGATTGAATTTACAGAGATATGCACATGTGTAATTATAGGCCCGCACAATAAGACCTTGCCTTTTCCTCAGCTTCAAGATAACTTATTTCCTACTTTGGAGTCATTTAGCTCCAACAGAAGACTTGGCTGTGCTTTGTAATTTAAGTATAACCATAATATTAATTAGAAGAAATTTAAAATTCTATTCTCAAAATATTGAAGTCAATATTATATCACTTAGAATAATATTCAAGCTTTATAACCCAATTATGTAATTTAACACCATTTTAAAAATCTGATCATTTTCAGTTATAAATTCCAAGGGATTTTATTTTCAGATACAACATTTTAGCTCTGGGTTCAGAATAAGCAGAGATAATTTACAATAGTTTTATAATAATTGGTGGTGACCATAAATGAGAGACACTTATTAATTCAGTGAAATTTAGTCACTTCTAGAAAACTTGGGAAGTAGAGAAACTGAACTTTTTTAAAGTATTGGCCTGAGTGATCCACAATGAGTTTAAATCAAATAGAAGTTCCACGTACACAATGGTTAGATGAAAAGGTTTTCTACAGTGGGTAGAAATTGAGTAAGATAGTTGTTGGGATTCTAAAAATAGTTTTAAATATTCATCTTGAATATTTTGTATATCTTGAAAACAACACGTGTTTTTCTCCTTTTATATAAGTAACAATAAAATAGAGTAGTACCTCAGGTTGTTTAGAAAGATGAATTATATTATGGAAATTCAGAAATTTTTGAATTTTTTGAATTAGCAATTAGAAAAACCAAGTTACATATGGAACAGATCTATTCCCCCCCCAAAAAAAAAAACAGAACAATAAGTATAACAATGATAAAAATATTGACTTTCATGAAGTCTGGTTTCTTTTCATCTGTCAGAGGTAAGCTCTCTCTCTTTGGGAAAGAGCTTATTCTTGTAATTACTTTCAGGCATCCTTCTAACTCCTTCTTTCTTCAAAGCAGGAAAGGTTCTGATACAGTCAGAGTAGTGGTTTAACTGAAGAAATGGTAGTTAGAATTATTTTTCAATTCATGTGCTGCTTCATTAACATTTTCATTTTAGACTAGTTGCTGCTGCTGCTTTTGATGTTTCCAGATTCGAGAAGTTTCAGACATAACATGCAGGATGTATGAGAATATGAAGAAGAAAATTGAAAAAGAGTATAAGGCATATTGACAAATGCTTAAAGTGCAGATCTTTCTTTTTAAAAAATTTTTTTCTATATGATTTCAAACACTGATCAATATGTACTAGAATCAAAGAGCACATCGCTGGATGGGTGCAAATTAAAAGATAGACAGTCTTAGCTATAGCTCTCCCTATTCTGAACCCATTGAATCAGAATTTTCACAGATGAAATCAGACATATATATTTTTATAGGAAGTTGCAGACCCTGACTCATTCTTCTGTTTAAGAAGCTCTAAGAGAGTGATGAGTAAACTGCATAATATTCATGTAGTTAACGTATTTTAGGAATGAAAATAAGACATACAACTTGTAACTTGCTGAGTTTTTTGATGTGGAGTCCAATAGTTCTCAAATCTGGCTGCACAGCAGATTCTCTTTAGAAGCTTTTAAAGCATTATAACAACCTGTTATTAGGAATCGGTGTGTCTAAAAGTTTTCCACATGGTTCTAATGAAAAGACAGGGTTGAAAACCAATGATGTAGAAAAACAATTCATTACATTATTGACAGTTATGTGAATTTCTTGTTTTTCTTTATCCTACTAGATAATTCTGGTTGTGAATGATTATATGAATTTATATCTGTAAATGTGTATCTTCAAGGTAAAAGAACAATGTATGTAATATTTGGTAATTTTCCTTGATCATAGTGCTTAATATGAGCTTCTTTATTAATTATGTTAAGACAACTCTTAGGAATTTAAAATTGTTTGATATATTCTACTCATTTAATTAGTTACTTGAATTTTCTCTCTCGTTATCAGTAACTAGACAGTGAGGATAATGCCAGCTGTTATTTCAAATATATTTAAGATATATGAAGGCTTAAACACAATAGGATTTTATTGCTTGCTTCTGTAAAAGTGCTGAATGGGTTTACAATTCAGTCAGGTGAGGCGGCTCTGTGCACTTATCCAGGAATTCAAGACTGGTAGATATTCTACTGTCCTCAACATGTAACTTCTAGATATTGCTGGGTGTTGGGTGTTCTATCTACAAGGGAAAAAAGTGCTTGGGGAGACTTTATATCTCAGGCTGGAAAAGGTGCATATTAACTTCATTCACATTCCATAGCAAGAATCAGTAAACATATCTAATTAAATAGAAAGTAGGATATGTAATCTTTCTGTGCAACCATGAAATAACTAATATTTTCTGCCATAGTCTGAACTTGTGCTACATGTTTCTTCCCATACAAACAATACATCCTCACCCTTCCCCATGGGAGATAACCCAAAGCCCCATCCAGATGCTGTGCCCAACCCAGCATATGCAGTCTCAGCTGAGTGTTCTCAATAAGGTCCAGATGTTCTTCTTTATGGGATAAAAGCTCTCTGCCCACTGCCCAACACATCTTAATAAACACTGATAGAATGGGGGCAGAGTAAGTTAAATAAAAATTTCTATTCAGAAAAAGGAAGAAGAGAAGCCACACATCAAGAACTTGTCAATACCAATGGTGAATTAATATATGTATGCTCTTGTGTGTGTGTATGTGTACACATGTGTATGTCTATGTGTGTGATGTGTATCCACACCACAAGATCTTCAATTGCTATATTCCCTACAACATCTCATTCAACATTATTCAACTCATGTCCAATTCATGGATTTGATCCCAGAATTTTGTCTGATTTTAGATATGGAAACTGAGAACAAGTCCTGATATAGGCCATAGTGTCAGGACATGTTATAAACAACAGCAACTTTAGTTTGAGCAAGAAAAGTGAATTGGTTGGCCAGGCATCATGGCTCATACCTGTAATCTCAGCACTTTGGGAGACCAAAGTGGGAGAATTACCTAAGCCCAGGAGTTCAAGACCAGCCTGGACAATATAGCAAGACCCTGTCTCTACAAAAACATTTTAAAAACTAGCTGGGCCTGGTGGCATACACTTGTAGCCCTACCTACTCTTCAGGCTGAGGTAGGAGGATCGCTAAAGCCCAGGAGGTTGAGGCTGCAGTGAGCCATGATCATGCTCCTGCACTACAGCATGGGTGACAGAGCAAGACCCTGTCTCAAAAAAAGAGTTGGGGGGGTGGGGAATTGGTAGTTGATGGGTGGTGGTGGTCTAATTTTTTAAAGTAAAATTGCATTTTAATTATATTTAATCCATAAAAACCAAAATTTTACATAGTAAAAACTCAATAGCTAATTTCTACATATATTTTATTTTCATTTTTATTTTTCCATAAGTTAATGGGGTACAGGTGGTATTTGGTTGCATGAGTAAGTTCTTTAGTGGTGATTTGTGAGATGTTGGTGCACCCATCACCAAAGCAGTATACATTGCACCCTATTTGTAGTCTTCTATCTTTTGCCCTCCTCCCACTCTTCCTCCCAAGTCCCCAAAGTCCATTACATCATTCTTATGCTTTTGCAACCTCATAGCTTACCTCCGACATATCCGTGAGAACATACGATGTTTGGTTTTCCATTCCTGAGTTACTTCACTTAGAGTAATAGTCTCCAATCTCATCCATCTACCTACACTTTTAATCCCTATCAATTTATTTTCCAAAACTTTTGTAATGACTAGATTATATGTTTCTCTGATAGCATCCTTATTGGCTGCCAAAAAATATATTCTCAAATCCAACTTATGCTTAGAACAAGGAATCTTAAAATAATACAAAAACATGAGCCAAAAGAGTGTTCCTATTCCTAATACCATTCTTATTGATGAATGACAGCTACAGTAAGTAAATCTCCTTAGTTTTAATTGGCCATCTCATACCTGATTCTTAGTTGTATAGAAATATTCTAAAATGTTTTAGAAATTGCATTTTGATTCCTTATATTTATAATAAGTGATGATTGGGATATTTCATATAATTCATACAAAATTTAAAACTAAAATATATAATTCAAAACAATGCATTTAAGTAGTGAAAAGAGTTACCCTTTTTCCTTAAATTAAAAATAGGAATCAATTTTCTTCTATTTAGAAAATAATTATCCTCTAATGAAGATATAGTCTTTATTTCATGTATATATTTTACTTCAATATGAACTTGAATGCCTTAATAGAAATTAGTACAGAAACATTTTGAAATTTATATTTATGATATGTTAGTTACTAAATTTCATACATATATGTTTACTTTCAGTGTTTATGTAAAAAGAAAGACATGTGGAGCCTCAGAATAGAACTATATCTTAACTGATCCTATTTGCTCTGTATCTTCTATGATTTATTTCATCTAGGATTCCATCTGATTCTCTGGTCTACCATGTTTACAATATTATTTCACCTTCATGTACTGAGTAATAAAAGTTGAAAGTGGCTTGATTAGATTGAACTCTGAATAGATGGAATTCACAGTATTATATAACTTGCTTAGTAATCAACTTGAGCCATGTCTACACAGTAAAATCAATTCTAGTATCATTCTACCACTTTAGTTAAGAAAATTGAGTAACCTCAGCAAAACCAAATTACCTTTGAGGGTACTATTCAGTAACATTCTATGCTGGCATCGATGAAAAATTTCCTAGGAAGTTAATTGAAATCTTATTATAATAAATTGGGAAAATTTTAGTTTTAATACAATATGGTAAACTTCTAAATATTAAAAATCTATTTGCACCTTGAGCTTTCTAAAGATGTATTCATTTATTTTCAAAACATATTAAACATACTAAGTACCTACTATATTCCAAGCATTCTTCTAGATTTAAGAGGTGACAAAGAATGAATGGTCATGCTTTGAAGTTAGAATTTAATAGATGACCAATATAGTAAACAGACAGAAATAGAATACAATTGCAAATTGTGCTAAGAACTATGAAAGAAATTAAAATAAACATGCTATTACTGAAATTTAACTGATATCTTAAGGACAAGAATTTATCCAAGTAAAGAATGAGGTTAAGGGCATTTCAGGCAGAGAGAAGAAGAAAGATCAAAATACTTCTATAGCAGAGGAGTTTGTACATCTCAAAGAACTTAAATAAGCTGTCATCACTAACTGAAGAGAAAAAGGGCCTAGAAGGAAATGGTGTAAAGATATGCAATTGTCACATCGTATCAGGTACTGCAGATCTGATTATAATTTGCAACCCTGCCCAAAGCACAATAGGTGTTTATTACAGTTTTTTCCTTCATTTTTAAGACAGATTATGTGACTTATATTTTTATATTTCCAGATTATTGTGACATTTTAAGGAATGAAAAGATTATAGCTAGATCACAAGTGTAAAGACCAATTAAGAAGCAAGAGATTAGTATTTAGTATAACAGACAAAAATATGACGGTATAGACTAAGATGGTGATGGGATGATAATGGACAGATGGTGATACATTTTTTAGGCAAAACTGATGAGCTTGGTAATGCATTGCATACGAGCAGGCAAACAGAGGCATAAAGAAAACTCCCAAACATGTGAGTTAGCTTGAGTCGATGTCATTTACTGAAATGTGAAAAATGATGGTGGGTGGTTACCAAGCAGTGGTGGGCCAGGTCATGTCAATTATTTGATGCACGTGAGAAAAAGTATAAAATATTAGCCTGGAATTCAAGGGAGACATTGATATTTCTTAACATAGAAATATAGTAAGTCCTCACTTAATGTCATTGATTAGTTCTTGGCAACTGTGACCTTAAGGAAAACAATGTATAACAAAATCGTTTTTTTTTCTCTGATCAAGGGTTTAAGGAAATGATGATGTTGGAGAAAATTATGTTATTCGAGGACCTGCTATATGTAGTTCTGATGATGTTGAGGACTTCCTGTGCCAATTAAAGCTATGTGTATTAGTCAGGATTCTCCAGAAAGATAGAATCAATGGGATATAAATCTATATAGATACATGCGAGGTGATTTATTACGGGAATTGACTCAAAAAATTAAGAAAGCTGAAATTTCCTGCCATACACTGTCTACAAGCTGCAGAACGAGGGAAGCCAGTATTGTGGCTTATTCCAAGTCTCAAGACCTCAGAACCAGGGAAGCTGATGATGTAACTCTCAGCTTGAGGGCAAGGGCCTGAGAACCTGGTGGGGTTGTGAAGTCTGGTACATGTCCTTGAATCCAAGGTCCAGAGAATCTGGATTTCTAAAGTCCAAGCAAAGGAGTAGAAGGATGTCCCAGCTCCAGGAGAGACAGAGAGAGTAAATTTAGATTTTTTCTGCCTTTTTATTCTATCTGGGGCTCCAGCTGATTGGATCCATTCCCATATTAAAGGTGGGTCTTTCCCATGAAGGCCTCTGATTCACAAGCCAATCTCCTGTGGAAATAGCCTCACAGATGTACCCAGAAATAATGCTTTTTCAGCTATGTAGGTATCCCTTAATCCAGTCAATTTGACCCCTAAAATTAACCATCACATTATGTGACCAAAAAAGATAATCTATGTACATATTTTAGGGTGAGACAAAAAAGAGACTTAGGGCTACAGCCTAAGAAAACGTGATGTGTGGAGGTCCTATTGAGTAGAAAACTTAGTAATGAAGTCTGCAAATAACCACCAAGAGTCAGACAAGGGAAATAAGAAAGCATGGCATCAAGAGAGCCAAGAAACAGAATATTTTAAAGAAGGAGTTCTAAAAACTATGTTCATTGCTACAAGGAGAGGTAGAATTATAAGGCTTTGCCTTCCACAATATTTAGACAATATTGATGTGTCTTACCATTTTTACAGGATGTTTCCTGAAAGGAGCATAATTCAAAACCAGTGTTGTGAAAGAAAAAATGCATGAGAAGTGCACAGAGAGAGTCTATCTTTAACAAGGAATTGAAAGATAGGAAAAGATCTGGAAGAAAACTTGTTGTCAAGGAAGATTTTAGTCTTATTTTGGCTAATTTTTTAATTTTTTTAGAAGTCCCATTTTAATTTTTTTATTTTTATATTTTTAAATTTCTATTTTTATTTTTGATCCAGGGGGTATATATGTAGGTTTGTAACATGGGTGTATTGCATGACGCTCACCCAGACAGTGAGCAGAGTTCCCAATAGGAAGATTTTCAGGCCTTGCTCTCCTCTCTGCTTCCCTTTTTTTGGTCCCCCCAGTGAATATTGTTCCTCTCTTTATTTCTGTGTGAACTCAAAATTACCTACCACTTATAAGCAAGAACATACAATATTTGCTTTTCTGTTTCTGTGTTAGTTCACTTAGGATAACAGTCTCCAGTTGCATCCATGTTGCTGAAAAAGACATGGTCTCAGAGTTTTTTTATGGCTGTGTAGTATTTCATGGTGTATATGTATCACACTTTCGTTATCCAATCCACTGTTGATAGGCATCTGGGTTGATTCCATGTTTTTGCTATTGTGAGTATTGCGATGAACATACAAGTGCCTGTGTCTTTTTGGTAGAATAACACATGAAATTGCTGGGTCAAATGATATTTTCATTTTTAAATCTGAGAAATCTCTAAATCTCACATGATTTCTATAGTGGCTGAACTAATTTCCATTTCTACCAACAGTATAAAAGAATGTCCACTTTCACCACTTCAATTCAACATGCTACTGGAAGTGGTAACCAGAGAAATTGGGCAAGAGAAATTAATAAAAGGCAACCAAATAGGAAAAAAAATGAAGTCAAATTATCTCTCTTTGCTAACAATATGATTTTTTTCCTTTTTTTATTATTTTTTGTTTATTTTGAGATGGAGTCTCGCTCTTGTTGCCCAGGCTGGAGTGCAATGGTGCGATCTCGACTCACTGCAACCTCCGCCTCCCGGGTTCAAGGGATTCTCCTGTCTCAGCCTCCAGAGTTGCTGGGATTACAGGTGCCCACCACCACGCCCAGCTAATTTTTGTACTTTTAGTAGAGACGAGGTTTCGCCACATTGGCCAGGCTGGTCTTGAACTCTTGACCTCAGGTGATCTGCCCTCCTCAGCTTCTCAAAGTGCTTGGATTACAGGCGTGAGCCACTGTGCCTGGCCAACAATAGGATTCTATACCTAGAAAACCCTAAAGATTTCACCAAAAGACTCATAGGCCTGATTAATGACTTTGGGAAAGTCTCAGGATAGAAAACCAATGTATGAAAATCAATTGCATTCCTGTAACACCAATAACAGCCAAGCTGAAAGCCAAATCAAGTATGCAATCCCATTTACTACAGTCATAGAAAAATAAAATACCTAGCAATATATCTAACCAAGGAGGTCAAAGATCTCTACAAGGATAACTACAAAACACCACTTAAAGAAATCATGCATGACACAACTAAAGGAAAAGCAATTAATGCTCATGTGTTGGAAGAATCAATATTATTAAAATGTCCTCACTGCCTAATCTACAGATTCAACACTATTTCTATCAAATTGCCCATGTCATTTTTTACAGAATTAGGAAAAAAAACTATTCTAAAATGTATATGGAACCAAAAAAGAGCCCCATTAGCTAAGGCAATCCTAAGCATAAAGAACAAAGCCAGAGTTACCACACTACCTAACTTCACACTATACTATAAGGCTTTAGTAAATAAAACAGCATGGTACAGTTACAAAAATAAATGCATAGACCAATGGAGCAGAATAGAGACTCCTGAAATAAAGCCACCTACCTACAACCAACTGATCTTTCACAAACTTAACAAAAATAAGCAATTAGAAAAAGATATCTTATTCAATAAATGGTACTGGAAAACCCTGACAACCATATAGAGAGGAATGAAACTGGACACCTAATATCTCACCATGCACAAAAATTAGCCCAAAATGGATTAAAGACTTATATGTGAGGCCTCAAACTATAAAAATTCTAGAAGAAGACTCTAGAAAATACTCTTCCAAACATTGGACTAGAGAAACAATTTATGATGAAGATCACACAAGTAAATGCAACAAAATAAAAAATAGAAAAATGAGAATTAATTAACTAAAGAGTTTCTACAAAGAGAAAGCAACTATCAACAGAATAAGTAGACAACCCATAGAATGAGAGAAAATATTTGCAAATTATGTATCTGACAAAGGACTGATATCTAGAATCTTTGAGGAATTTAAACAAATCAATAGGGAAAGAAAAAAACATTAAAAAGTGAGCAAAAGACATGAGCAGACACTTCTCAAAAGACTTACCAGTAGCCAACAAACGTGAAAATATTCTCAGTATTCATAATCATCAGAGAGATGCAAATCAAAACCACAATGACATACTCTCTCACACCAGTCAGAATAGGTATGATTAAAAATTATTTTAACTATTTTAAAGATGAATCTAGAGCATGTTAAACATATAAGAAAATGATCTCATGGAAAAGAAGGTAAATAGTCATAAAAAGATAGTGAAAAGTACAGCAAGAACTTATCAAGAATATTGAAGGGCTATAATTTTTAACTTCCTTGCAAGCCAACATGTTAGCCTGACACAGTTTCATGGATGCTGGAAAAGATATCAGACTATTAGATCAGAAAAACAAGACTTTACCACACAGGAACAGAAAGTTTGAACTTTAGACTCATGTCAATTCCTCTTTCCTACAAAATTCTAGAGGGTTAAGAAAATTGGCCCAGTTAGAATGGCAATCATTAAAAAGTCAGGAAACAACAGGTGCTGGAGAGGATGTGGAGAAATAGGAACACTTTTACACTCTTGGTGGGACTGTAAACTAGTTCAACCATTGTGGAAGTCAGTGTGGCGATTCCTCAGGGAACTAGAACTAGAAATACCATTTGACCCAGCCATCCCATTACTGGGTATATACCCAAAGGATTATAAATCATGCTGCTATAAAGACACATGCACACGTATGTTTATTGCGGCACTATTCACAGTAGCAAAGACTTGGAACCAACCTAAATGTCCAACAACGATAGACTGGATTAAGAAAATATGGCACATATACGCCATGGAATACTATGCGGCCATAAAAAATGATGAGTTCATGTCCTTTGTAGGGACATGGATGAAGCTGGAAACCATCATTCTCAGCAAACTTTCGCAAGGACAAAAAAAACCAAACACCACATGTTCTCACTCATAGGTGGGAATTGAACAATGAGAACACATGGACACAGGAAGGAGAACATCACATACCGGGGACTGTTGTGGGGTGGGGGGAGGGTGGAGGGACAGCATTAGGAGATATACCTAATGCTAAATGACGAGTTAATGGGTGCCGCACACCAACATGGCACATGTATACATATGTAACAAACCTGCACGTTGTGCCCATGTACCCTAAAACTTAAAGTATAATAATAATAAAAAAAATACAAAAATTAAAAAAAAAAAGAAAGTTGGCCCAGATTGATCCTGAATGCAATGAGTTTAACTCACATGTGAGGAAAATTTAGCTTAGGAAACCTGAATCTTTTATAATAGGCAGTAAGTAAATCTGCCCAATCTTTGTCACAGTGGAAGATATCTTTATTATACTGGATGGCAAAAATATCTGCCCTCTGCCCCAAAAGCAGACACCATTCTATCTTTCAAGGATGTTCACTATACAAATAATCTTAGAAAGATAAAAGAGAATAAATGGTGTCAATGTCCCTATTTGCCATGTGCAGAAACATAAGAAATCCATGGAGAATTGTCTTGTGATAGGGTTCTAAGATGACAAGAAGGCATATGGTGGGATTAAGCTGTGCAATAAAGGAAATTTATTCTGTTTTGAAAGGTAGGAAGAAAGAGAAGACCTTTGTAGGGGGAGGTAAGTTTATGAAATAATTGTTTGAGTATATGTTCTATTTTATCAATGAAGTATGAAATGTGGGGGCTTTAAAGAAAATGGAAACACATATAGCAGAAAGTGGGAAGGTAATTTTAGTACAGAAATGATATTCTTGAAAGATTTTTATTTTGAAGATATGAATCATGAATTCATGATGATGCTAATTTATTTGGATATATGATTTTTCTTCAGAAATCAGTTGCATTCCCAAAAGGCTATTTCACAAGTTGGAAAAACAGAAGGAAAGGAGTCAGTTTAAAGTACTGTATGGGAATAATTACACTGGTTAATTATAGAATCTAACCTGCATACAGAGGGAAGTGTTGAAAGAAAGTGACACATTGATTGAAAGAATTTAAAAAGACCAATGAATAAAGTCTTAATAAGTTTAAAGAACCATTTGATTCAAGTACTGGAACAAACATAAGAGAGTTTTCAGCAGAGAATGGAATGTTTTAATTAATTATTTTAGAGATGGTAGAGTTTCTGGTAATAAAAAAGCATGATTGTAGAAGTGGGTGAATTAGATGTAGTAAAGTGAGACATCATCGGAATAAGGAAATCAAGAGGCAAAGATGATGGATAGGTTTTCATGATGGTTGCCGATTTTACCAATAGCAGATGTGAACAGGGGGTCTAATAAAAAAGTGAAAGTTTTCACTGATTGATGTGGAATAAACAAGATTTGGTATATGAGATTAATGAGGAGAGGGACAGTGATGTAGCACCATGATGTGAGCGCAATGGAACAGAGAGTTTTAAAATTAAGTTTATACTAACTTAAACTAATTTCTATTCTTGAATATTAGGGTCCCTTATCCCTATTCATAATATTTTCAATGCTTTTTAAATGGTTTTATTTTAAACAGGGCTTTCTTAGTTCCAGGCATATAGAAAATGGAAACAAACAAGTCAAGGATAGAGTAAAAAGGACTTGATATTCTTACTTCAAAGTGCAAAATGACTATAGTCATTCTACCAGTGCTTTGTGGGAAGACTGCATTCTGACTACTGTGTTTAATTCTTGTTGCTGTATTTATAGGAAGGACACTGCTGAGATTGAAAAGGTCAGACAAAATGACAGTAACTAATTCAGAAATGAGATGTCAAGAATTGAAGTTCTAAAGCAGGGATTAACCTATAAGCAATTTAAGTAGGTTTAGACACACACACACACACACACACACATACACACATACGCACAAATGCTAGTTAAACCTATAAGCAGTTTAAGTAGGTTTAGACACACACACACACACACACACACACACACATACAAAAATGCTACTTAAAACAGTATTTAATATAAATCGACAAGGTCAACAAAAAAAGCAATGTATGTGAGCTGAAGAGTGAACTTCTGTAAAATAGGGAAAGTGAAGGTGAACTCTAAGACTAGAAGGTTTCTGTACGTTTTAGAAATCAAATATTCATACCATAGGCACTACTATTGAGCTACATGTACACACAGAAGAAATAATTACATAATTAATACAAAAAAGAAAGAAATTAATCATACAGTTAACTTAGTTTACTAATCTGTGCTTACGATAATTATTGTTTTGAATGGCTGAATATGTTGCAGTTTGGGCTTTTAAATAAAGGATATGTCTATATTGAAGAGGCATTTGTAAAACATTAACAAATATTTTCTAATACCACTTGCATCTGATTTAGAAAAAGGGCTGAAAGGAGGTCAAAGCAATATATCTTCAAATTATTTATAGAATTATAATAATTTATTGAGCACTTTCTATGTATCAAGAATTGAACAAGCAATTTATCATCACCTTTAACCCACATACTATCCAGTTAGTACATTGTCATGACCCACTTATAAATAAAGAAATTGAGGCATGCATAAATCAAGCTCCAAGTTACATGTTCTTATATGCTGAATTTGATATTTCAACCTGTTTACTAAGCTTGATACCGTATCTTGAATTTTGATGGACACTGATAATAAATATAATTTGTCCTCCTACCTGAAACATGAACCTGCTAGCCTGGAAATAAATTATAATAAAACATATTCTGCTAGTGTTCCTTTTCCCATCCATACAGAAATCACTAATCAATAACTTAGCATGAATTTAAGTACTGGTAAAATTACTAGGCACAGGCCCAGAATTCACAACAACACAGAGCTCAGGAATCACCATCAACAGATAGAAGATAGTCCTTGAGTTGGAACCAATTCATTTAACTGTGAGCTCTACAAAGATTATTTTATGCTATCTCCAGAATTAAACACAATTATTAACACACGTATATGTTAGTGAATATATTGTCATTAATCTTGGCGGCCACATTATAGACATAAAAGTAATATACAACAAAAACCAACCATCAATATGTATTTAAAGCATCTATGTAAAAATACCTGTGTAGGGCCAGGCACGGTGGCTTATGCCTGTAACCCCAGTACTTTGGGAGGCCGAGGGGGGTGGGTCGCCTCAGGTCAGGAGTTCAAGACCAGCCTGGCCAACATGGTGAAACCCCGTCTCTACTAAAAATATAAAAATTAGCTGAGCGCGGTGGCAGGAGCCTGTAATCCCAGCTACTCAGGAGGCTGAGGCAGGAGAGTCGCTGGAGCCCAGGAGGTGGAGGTTGTTGTGAGCCGAGATAGTGCCACTGCATTCCAGTTTGGGTGCCAGAGTGAGATTCCAGCTCAAAACAAACAAACAAACAAAACTTATGTAACAGGTAAGTCCTTCCAATCAAACTCAGAGGTGGAAAGATTTATTATTTTCCACGATTAGCCTAAATCTGATTCTGAATAAGAATTTTGTTGTGATGGAAGCAAAACTATTGAATTTTAAATATAATCAGAGTAACTCTACAGTGTTGTGCTCATGTCCCAAGATTTTGCTCAAAGACAAGCAATGGAGAAATAACTCTAGCCTTAGGATATAGTGCTGAAATATCTGATCTCTGAAATCTTATGATTCTTTGGATCTGGAACTGAATCTTATGATCTGAATCTTATGATTCTCTGGATCTGATGCTGTGTGATGTTATTTGAGTTACAACAATCTTGGGTGAGGCTGAGATACCCTGGACTTAGGGTCTAGTTTGTCTGGGTCTTGCCATCTCCTTTCAGGTATTTCTACTTCCCTGGGGCTCTTTAGTGGAAGAGTCCCTTCTGGGATTCCCTAAGCAGACCTCTAACTCTGATCTTTCACATCCCTTTCCTAGCACACACAGAGCATTGTTGTTGCTCCTCCTATCAAATGTCCAAACAAGGTCTTTAGTAAGCTCAGACATTTATAAAAGAGAACGAGTACCTTTGATTTCATTCATCTTTTTCTTATTTCCTCTGCTAAATTTCTTAAGGAGAGAAATGAAAAATGCCTGTTTACCTGCTTGTGTCTCTTTTTTCATCAGGTCTTTGATGATACAACAACCACAGTACATCAATAGGGTTTGAAAGCAAGAGCTACAAGATACAGAAATAAGAGAACATTTGACTTGACAATGACTCAAATAACTAGTGAACTGAACTATTTGCTTTGATCATCATTACTAATTAAAGAATTACCAATGGCTTGAATTATTAGGTTTGACTATCATTACTAATTAAACCTGACTAAATTAAACCATATAATTTTTGGAGTCCCTTTGAAATGATCTCTTCTTAATTCCAATAAATAAATAAATAAATAAATAAATAAGCCTAAACAAAGAGTGGCTATAATTTATAGCTGGAAGGGATTGTAGAGATTAGATTAAATTCTCAAAGTTGGAGCCTGCTTCTTCTACCTCCTCCTTTAATTTTTTTCTCCTAACTCTCACGGCCTTTTAATTACAAAATCTTCTCTTTATTTTGAGAAAATCAAAATTATTTTCAAATATTTATTTGTTTTCCTCTGATGTTTTTGTTGAGCACCCCCAATTTCTCTTTTATTAATAGTATGTCAAGAATTTAGAAATGCTACCAATTTTTTATATTGATTTTGTATCCAGAAACTTTGCTGAATTTATTTATCAGTTCTAGGAGCCTTTGGGGAGAGACTATAGGGTTTTTCTAGGTATAGAATCACATAGTTGGCAAATAGAGATAGTTTGACTTCCTGTTTTCATACTTGGATGTCTATTATTTTTTTCTGTTGCCTGATTTCTTTGCCTAGGACTTCGAGTATCTTATTAAATAGGAATGGTGAGAGTGGGCATCCTTGTCTTGTTCTGGTTCTCATGGGAAATGCTTTCTGCTTTTGCCCATTCAGTATGATGTTGCCTATGGGCTTGTCATAAATGGTTCTTGTTATTTTGAGGAATGCATAGTTTGTTGAAGGTTTTTTTTTCTTTTTTTCGGAGGAGTCTCGCTCTGTCACCCAGGCTGGAGTGCAATGTTCCAATCTCGGCTTACTGCAACCTCCGCCTCCTGGGTTCAAGCGATTCTCCCGCCTCAGCCTCCTGAGTAGCTGGGATCACAGGTGTCCAACACCATGCCCGGCTAGTTTTTGTATTTTTAGTAGAAACAGGGTTTCACCACATTAGCCAGGCTGGTCTCAAACTCCTGACCTCAGGTGATACACCCCCCTCAGTCTCCCAAAGTGCTGGGATTGCAGGCGTGAGCCACCGCACCTAGCCAAGTTTTCTTTTTCTTTTTCTTTTTTATCGTTCCTCTGCTAGGTTTGGATATCAGAATGATGCTGGCCTCATAGTATGAGTTAGGGAGGAGTCCCTCCTCGATTTTTGGAATAGTTTTAGTAGGATTGGTATTAGTTATTCTATATCTGGTTGAATTTGCCTGTGAATCCATCTGCTCCAGGGATTTTTCTGGTTGGTTTTTTTAACTGCTTATTCAGTTTCAGAACTGATTATTTATCTGTTCAGTATTTCAATTTATTCCTGGTTCAATCTTAGGAGGTTGTATGTTTCAGGAATTTTTTCATTTCTTCTAGGTTTGCTAGTTTGTGTTCACAGAAGAGTTAATAATAGTCTCTGAGAGTTTTTGTATTTCTGTGGGGTTGGTAGTAATAACCCCTTTGCCATTTCTAATTGTGTTTATTTGGATCTTCTCTCTTTTTATATTTGTTAATCTAGTTAGTGGTCTCTCAATCTTGTTAATTCTTTTGAAGAACCATTTCCATATACCAAGAACATCCAAGCTGAGAGCCAAATCAAGAATTCAACCCCATTCACAATAGCCACAAAAACAATGAAATACCTAAGAACACAGCTATCCGGAAAGGTAAAAGAGCTCTACAATGAGAATTTCAAAACGCTGCTGAAAGAAATCAGAGATGACACAGACAAATGGGAAAAATATTCCATACTCATGAATAGGAACAATCAATATTATTAAAATGGCTATACTTCCCAAAGCAATTTATGAATTCAATGTTATCCCTATCAAACTGTCAACATCATTTTTCACAGAATTAGAAAAAAGTATTCTAAAATTCACTTGGAGCCAAAAAAGAGACTGAATAGCCAAGGCAATCCTAAGCAAAAAGAACAAAACCTAAGGCATCACGCTACCTGACTTCAGGCCGTATTACAGAGCTACAGTAACCAAAACAGCATACTGGTACAAAAACAGACACATAGACCAACAAGTAAGAGAACTCAGAAATAAATCTGCACTCCTACAATCATCTGATTTTTGACAAATTCAGTAATAACAAGCAATGAAGAAAAGGACTCGCTATCCAATAAATAGTGCTGGAGTAACTGGTTAATTATATGCATTAGAATGCAACTGGATCCCTTTCTTTCTCCAAAAAATAACTCAAAATAGATTAAAGATTTAAATGTAAGACAGAAAATTATAAAAAATCCTAGAAGAAAACTTAGCCATTCTGGACATAGGCCTTAGCAAAGATTTCACGACCAAGTCTCCTAAGGCAATAGCAACAAAATCAAAATAGACAAAAGGGGCTTAATTAAACTAAAGAGTTTCTGCACAGAAAAATAAGATATCAACAGACTAAGCAAACAACCTACAGAATGGAAGAAAATATTTGTAAACTATGTATCTGACAAAAGTCTACTATCCAGAATGTATAACAAACTTAAACAAATTCACAAGCAAAAAAGAAACACCACCATTTGAAAATGGGCATAGGACATGAACAGACACTTCTCTAAATAAGACATACACATGGCCAACAAGCATATAAAAAGGCTCAACGTCATTAATCATTAGAGAAGTTCAAGTCAAAACTACAATGAGATATCATCTCACACCAATCAGAATGGCTATTATAAAAGTAAAAAATAGCAGGTGCTGGTGAGGTTGTGGAGAAAAAGGAACACTTATACACTGTTGGGGGGAGTGTAAATTAGTTCAGTCATTGTGGAAGATGGTGTGGTGATTCCTCAAAGATGTAAAGACAGAAATAACATTTGACCCAAGAATCCCAATCCTGGGTATATACCCAAAGGAATATAAAGTATTCTGTTATAAAAACACATGCACACATATGTTCATTACAGCACTATTCACAATTACAAAGACATGGAATCAACCTAAATGTCCACCAAGGATAGACTGGATAAAGAAAATACACACCATAGAATACTATGCAGTCATAAAAGAGAATAAGATCATGTCCTTTGCAAGGACATGGATGGAGCTGGGGACCATTATCCTTAGCAAACTAACACAGGAACAGAAAAACCAAATATCACATGTTCTCACTTATAAGTGGGAGCTAAATGATGAGAACACATGGACACATAGAGGGGAATAACACACAATGGGGCCTTTCAGAGTGTGAAGGTTAGAAGGAGGTAGACAACAAGGAAAAGTAACTAATGGGTACTAGGCTTAATAACTGGGAAATAAAATAATCTGTACAAAAAACCACCATGACACAAGTTTGCCTATGTACCAAACCTGAACTTGAATTTATCTATTGAATTTATCAACAGGCTGGTATTAAGAGCAATTTTTCCCCTGTTTAGAAGTTCAGATTCTGGGTGGGAAGTATTTTCCACTGTGATCTCTATCTTACAGCTACAAGAGAATATCATTTCCCACATCATCCTGTGTGGAAGATAAGTTGGCACTCCTTGTATTGAGAAAAACATCTGGAAATCATTGTGAGACTATTAGTTAATCATTTGAAGATCGCTGGTAGGGAAAATGGAGAACGCTTTCTACTACCAAACTTAGCATACTATCCAAACCTATGGAAGCAATGGATGAAATTCTTAATAATGAGAAACAGGTTGTATTATCACTATAGGGTTATATGGGTATTCAATCGAGCATGCCTATAAATAAGGAAGCAGGTTTTCTTTTTTTCTTCTTCCTTTCTCTCTTTCTCTCGGCTCTGCTTTTGTTTCAAGGTCAACTTGTCAAAAAGTAAATATAAACATGAACAATTATAGATAAGAAAATTTGTATACTACAATACCTTTGTTCAAATTATACAATGTTCAGTCAATATTGTAATGTTAAGGTTGAATTCAGTTATCAGAATAGCAACACTACAAATTCAATTGGTAGTGGTAAGCATAAATGTAATAAAATACATCTGAAAGTTTTCTACTATGAATCACATAGAATAACTGAATGTGTTTCTTCGTGCTATTTTTCTATTAAATCTATTGATTTCATCCATGTTTACAGTTAATGAGACACTGCCAGAAATAATATGATTGTTGACGTTTCGTAGGTTTGCCAGTGACTCAAATTTATAACCATCAATCTTTTGATAATGAGTGTTTTAATTATTTTACATTCAATGTTGTGTTAAACTTTAAAACTTACTATCAGAGTTGCAACTATATAATCTAAGTAGGTCATAGCAAAAATAGCAATCATGCACATAATGTAATGGTTTGTTTCATAAATACAAGTATGTCAGTCATTCTATAATTGAAGTTTTCTAGATTCATTAGAATTATTTCTACATAAATCTTAAGAAGTACAAGTAATGTAAGCAAATGTGATAAGTGGGAAATTGCTTCACTTAAAAAGATTGGAAAATAAAGCTTTTGATTTATAGGTGGTTTATTTAATAAAACAATAATAATAATCCTCAACACCTAAATTTTCTGGCATTGTGAACATTTTGAAGTATTTACTCAGAACTAAAATTTACTTTATTCCATACATTTTAAACTAGAATTAGTTTAACATAATTTTTTTTCTAGGAGAGTATATTTTTTAACATACAGAACATGCTAATACACATTTTTAATATGCCTAAAACTTATATTACCACTAGAAAATGGCAAATGCATTAGGTTTAAAAATCAGCCATGTACTTATTAAACGGAACTATAAAGAGTAGAATGTTTAGCACAGTAATTATCTTTATAATCTTCAAATATTTGGGGTCCAAGTAATTGTACAAGAGCTACTTTATTGTAAATATCATATTTATTTAATGTTACTAGACGTATATTCAGTGAGGAGTAAATCAGAATAATTGCTTTGGGAGATATAAGGCATTTCTGCTAAACAATGATTTAAAGAAGCAACTAATGAGAGATAAAGCTTCTTCTGCGTCCTGATGTTATAATCGACTGAATATCCATATACAAGCTATATATATATATATATATATATATATATATACACACACACACACACACACACACACACATGCTGTTTGTAAACACAAAAACACATACATATAGATACACACTTATGTGTATCTATGTATACATATAGATACACACTTATGTGTATCTATGTATACATAGATACACACTTATGTGTATGACACACTTATGTGTATATATACACACTTATGTTTATATATGTATATGTTTGTGTGTGTACACTCTCACACACACAAACATACCTCTCTCATCTTTACCAGTGCAGATCAAAATAAAAAGTGTTTATCTTCCTCCATTCAATTATCAGGTTTTATTTTTAGTTGTGCTCTTTTTTACACTTAATCTGTTTTTGACCTAAGTTTATCTTCTTCAAATATTTTGAGGATAAGCAAATCAATTTTACTGTACTCCAGGCTTGCTATCCTCTTAGGAACTTCCCTGAATGTCAAATCTCTTGGATGCTCGAGTGCTATGGCTTAGCCAAAGTTTTTCCTAACCTTCCTTCAAATATGTTAAGGCATATCAAAATGCTGGAACTTTTCACTCTGGAAGTGTGCAATTTTATTATTATATAATTAGTTCATTGTTTGGCCTCTAGGAGCTCAATTCTTCCCTGCTTCTTCTGGCTACTGAATACCAATGACATGATCCCACCTAGGTACATTATTTCAACCATCCAAATGACAAGGTCTTTGGGACCTAAATCTTAAGCTCCTGTCTTTTATTTCTAATAATCTTTATAATTTACTCAGTAGGATGTTATGGGCTCTTGAAATTCAACTTTTCCTCATCTAGCCATGTCCCTTTTCCTTCCAGTTCTGATCTTCCTGTTATTATTTCTTTTTTTTTTTTTTTTGCTCCACCTCCCAGGTTCAAGAGATTCTCCTGCCTCAGTCTCCCGGGTAGCTGGGATTACAGGCACCCACCACCATGCCTGGCTAATTTTTTGTATTTTTTAGTAGAGATGAGGTTTCACTGTGTTAGCCAGGATGGTCTTGATCTCCTGACCTCGTGATCCGCCCTCCTCGGCCTCCCAGAGTGCTGGGATTACAGGCGTAAGCCACCGTGCCTGAGCGTTCTGGGCTATCAATGAGAAATTCAAATATATGATTTTTAAATTTTCCTATAATAAATTATCTGTCAGTGTGAACACTCAATCCCCACCTTAGCCTAATGACTGCTTAAACTCTAGCAAACTCAGAAACATTTGGATTTAGACTTGGTCAATCAAGTAGTTAAACTCTATGAATATTGTATATATATTTCTGAAAAAAAATTGCAGCAAGAACAAAATCACCCACTGTATGTTGACTTTCACGTTTAATGAAAAATCAAATAAAATTTTCTTTGAAATCCATAAATTCAAATAAGATTTTTATTTTTATAAGGAAGGTGAAAACTCTTCTAATAGTTAGACATAATAAATGTGTAGCGCCATAGCACATATATTAAAAGGTTTGTGATTTTACTTTTATTAAGTAAATTTGTAACCAGTATATAAAGTTCCATCTTGTGCTTGAGGAAAAATATTTTCTTTAGTAAGAAGCAAAATGATATGGTTTGACTCTGTATCTCCACCCAAATATCATCTCAAATTGTAACTCCTGTAATCCTCATGTGTCAAAGGAGGGACCTGGTGGGAGACGATTGGCTAATGGGTGTGGTTTCCCTCATGCCTTTCTTGAGATAGTGAGTTCTCACGAGATCTGATTTTTTTTTTAAATGTTTGACAGTTCCTCCTTCACACTTGCTCTCTCTTGCCTGCCGCTAGGTAAGGCATGTCAGCTTCCCCTTCTGCCATGATTGCAAGTTTCCTGAGGCCTCCCCAGTCATGCAGAACTATGAGTCTTTAAACCCTTTTTCTTTATAAATTACACAGTCTCTGACAGTTCTTTATAGCAATGTGAAAACAGACTATTACACCAAGCAAAAAGTATTTCTGTAAGTGTTTTAATAGTAAATAAGTAAATTAAATATTTTGTCATGCTGCAGAAACCTTGCATTTGGAGAAAGATTAGTTCCAGCTGGCGTGGTCAGTAAAATTTCACTGAAAATGCAGCATTTAAGCTGGTCTTTGGAATTTAAATGGGAATGGGACAAATCTGTATGGGGAAAAGGCATTTTCTGTATTTAAGGATGCAAAAAGATGACTAAAACCATCAGTTGGAAGAGTAAACGGAAAAGCTAAACAAGTTGGTGAAGAGTTTAAAAAATTGTGTCAAAGGCAAGAGAAAAGAGAGCTTCAAGTACAGATTCATTAACTTGCTACTGAGAAAACTTCTACTTATGACTGCCTCCTGTCCTCCACTCTTCCAGCTACTGCCTGAACATACCAGAATACTTACTACTACCTCTAAACCTTTGTCAATTTAATGTGACACACTGAAATTCTTTTCTTCCTTCTTTGTCTTTCAATTCCTGCCATATATGCTAAAGCCAAGGATTACTTCATCATTAAGTAAACACTTGTTGTGGCAGTCAACCTTCTGGGCAAGGGCATAATAAGTTAAAAAGAGTTAAATGCTATGCAGATTCCTTTAATTTGATATGTATTCAAAGGCATATAAGGATGATGATGAGAAAAATCTGTCCTCAAGGAACTTGTCTCATAGAAAACAGTAAGTGAAAACACAAAGCCTATGTAAGTCAGTGTTGTTACTATCTCTAAATACTTCATCTTCTGTGACATCTTCATATCCACATGCAGATCTGAAGCCTGCTGTATTCATATCACTTTATACCACTGATTCTGTCAGCAGTAGAACTGGTTAACTCTTTGACTTATCCTTTTCTATCAGGCAAACTATATGCTTAATTTTTCTATCCCATGTAAATTTAAAGAAATGCTGTCTACATAAAAGATATCCAGTAATATTTTGTTTAAAAAAACTTGAGGAAGCACCAGCAGTTTCAAATAATGTTGAAAAGTATGAAAACCAAGAATGTAGACATAACATTACATCAAGGTTCAAAGACAATATCAAGGTGCTCTACAATCCCATTTTAATCTAGCACCCTGCTATAACTACAATTAAAAGTATTAATTTGTGTGTCCATTATCAATTTCAATACAATGGCAGGCACATTGTACCTGACTAAAAAACTAAAGACAAAATTAAGTCAGTTCTGTTATGATCTGATTCTTCATTCTAAAATTAACTACACGATACAAAATGCACTTATAATTCACAGTAATTTCACAGCACTTATAGAGAAATGGAGTTAAGGACACAAGAGGCAAAAATTGTCAATGATATGTTAAACCAAAAAAAAATCAAAGAAAAGCAAAACCGTATGAATGTAATAAAAGTTGTATTACACTTTTAAAACTAGTAAATAGTCCAGAAATACATAAAATGTAAAAATATATACATAAATACATATACAATGTATAAATAGTTAAGAAATGAACAATATATAGCATATACTGCAATAAATACAGCATTCAATCTTGAAAAATACCTGAAGTTTGCTCGTGGAAGTGGGCTTTAGAAGGGTTTTAGCAGCTTGAGTGTTATTGTGAGGTGGTGGAAGGAAGGTTATCTGAAATTGGATAGAAAGTTGTAACATCATATGTAGATGAATATGTTCATAACACACATGGTAGACGGAGACACCTGCAGATTTTTGAGATGTATGTGTGTGCTTTGCATATTATGTGGCTAGGTTTAGCTAGATGCAATTTTCTGCATGTTTTTAGTATTTACTATGAACAAAATCATGCATAAGAAAACACAAAATCTGATTTTGCTCAAAGAGTTCCTTAATATATCAATCTTATTGGAAAACATGTCCATTTCATAACAAGTATTATGGTAGAATAAACTAAAGGCAGTGAGAAAATATGGTGATTTTGGCAGTGGAAGGAAGAAATGAGAATGAGTGTTGGAAAGGTGTCAAGAGATAAGAAAGTCTTTAGAACCAGATGTGACTAAATTAAAAGTATGTGATTGATAAAGTCTCAAAATAACCTATCTAGAGGAATTTGTGTTCTGTCAAAAATCAAAACTTAAATTGTAGAAACCAAGCTCTAGTGATTGTAAAAGACAAGGAAGAATATGTACAGAGGCTACAACACGGTTCTTTCCACATGCCTTAAAATTCAATTTCAATCTAGTACCTTGTTGTAACTACAATTAAAACTATTTCTACAACAGGAAAATGCTTGTATTAAAAATATTCAAATTTTTAAGTTTTTAAAAATTAAATTCAAGTTTTTAAATTAAATTCATGTTTTTTCCCAAATTTTTTTATTTTTATTGGAATATTTGTTTTTTACTTTCTCATTCTGTGTCAGAAGTGCTAAATCCTGATAAATTTAGAATATCTTATTTATCAGGAAAATCTAACTTCAGTTTTCTTCTGATTCTGCTTCTGGATCCGTTTGAGCAGGAATATAATGTGTTATCCTTCCCACATTCAAGGCTCTGTTCATTTCTACTTTAATAAAGAAGTCAAAACATTTCATCTACATGGATAAAATGTAGATAGAATTACAGGCATTGTGTTCTGGAAGAATCAGGAATCACTGAATCTTCTGGAATAAAAATTTCCTTTTTACCAAGGCCAATGCAAGAACACTTATTTTTAGTTTCCCATAGGAACTTACTTATCTGGTAGCGTGTAGCACAGAAAAGAGAAACAGAGTGAGACTGACAAACACTATTTGACAAACTTGACTGAGTCAATTTCTCAAGAACATATTCTGAGTTTTAAGGAAGATAGGGAAAGATCAGATGTCTATCATAAGTTAAGTTAACGGAATCATTTATTCTTCTTGCTAAAATACCTTCTTTAATAAATGTCAATTAAACCACCAGAGCTTAGGACCCTCACGGAGCCCATTGCACCCTCTTCTACATCCACCAGAACAGGCGCTGGAATCCGTGGCCGAGAGATCCATGGGAGGTTCACATTACAGGACTCTGTGCAGACAACCCCAGTACTAGACCGGAGCTGGACAGACTCACTGGGTGGCTACACCCAGAAGAGAGACAACAATCAATGCAGTTTGGCTCGCAGGAAGCCACATCTATAGAAAAAGGGGGAGAGTACTACATCAAGGGAACACCCCATGGGACAAAAGAATCTGAACCACAGCCTTCATCCTCAGACCTTCTCTCTGACGGAGCCTACCCAAATGAGAAGGAACCAGAAAACCAACCCTGGTAATATGTCAAAACAAGGCTCTTCAGCACCCCCCAAAATCACACTAGTTCACCAGCAATTGGTCCAAACTAAGAAGAAATCCTTGATTTACCTGAAAAAAGAATTCAGGAGGTTAATTATTAAGCTAATCAGGGAGGAACCAGAGAAAGGTGAAGCCCAATGTAAGGAAATCTAAAACATGATACAAGAAGTGAAGTGAGAAATATTTGTGGATACAGATAGCTTAATGAAAAAATGATCAAAATTTCAGAAAACTGTGAACACGCTTTTACAAATGTGAAATGCTCTGGAAAGTCTCAGCAATAGAATTGAACAAGTAGAACAAAGAAATTCAGAGCTCGAAAAAAAGGCCTTCGAGTTAAACCAATCCAACAAAGACAAATAAAAAGGAATAAGAAAATATGAACAAAGCCTCCAAGGCATCTGGGATTATGGTAAATGACCAAACCTAAGAATAATTGGTGTTCCTGAGGAAGAAGAGAATTCTAAAAGCCTGGAAAACATATTTGGGGGAATAATCAAGGAAAACTTCCCTGGCCTTGCTAAAGACCTAGACATCCTAATACAAGAAGCACAAAGACTATCTGGGAAATACATGACAAAAAGACCTTCACCTAGGCACATTGTCATCAGGTTATCCAAAGTCAAGATGAAGGAAAGAATCTTAAGAGCTGTGGGACAGAAGCACCAGGTAACTTACAAAGGAAAACCAGTTAGATTAACAGCGGATTTCTCAGCAGAAACCCTACAGTCGAGAAGAGCTTGGGTACCTATCTTCAGCCTCCTCAGACAAAAAAATTATCAGTCAAGAATTTTGTATGAGTGAAACTAAGCATCATATATGAAGGTAAGATACAGTCATTTTCAGACAAACAAATGCTGAGAGAATTCGCTATTAGCAAGTCACCCCTACAAAACTGCTAAAAGGAACTCTAAATCTTGAAACAAATCCTGGAAACACATCCAAACAGAAACTCTTTAAAGCATAAATCACACAAGATCTATAAAACAAAAATAGAAGTTAAAAAAGCAAAAACAAAAACCAAAAGTACACAGGCAACAGAGAGCACGATGAAAGCAATGGTACCTCACATTTCAATACTAACATTGACTGTAAATAGCATAAAAGCTCCACTTAAAATATACAGAACCGCAGAATGGATAAGAACTCATCAATCAACACTCTGCTGCCTTCAGGAGACTCACCTAACATATAAGGACTCATATAAACTTAAAGGGGTGGAAAAAGACATTTCATGCAAATGGACACCAAAAGCAAACAGGGGTAGCTATTCTTATATACAAACTTTAAAGCAACAGTGGTTAAAAGAGACAAAGAGAGACTGGATATAATGGTAAAAGGCCTTGTCCAACAGGAAAATATCACAATCCTAAACATAAATGCACCTAACACTGGAGGTTCCAAATTTATAAAACAATTACTAGTAGACCTAAGAAATGAGATAGACAGCAATATAATAATAGTGGGGGACTTCAATACTCCACTGACAGCATTAGATGGGTCATCAAGAAAGAAAGTCAACAAAGATACAATGGATTTATACTATACCTTGGAACAAATGGACTTAACAAATATATACAGAACATTTCATACAACAATCACAGAATACACATTGTATTCAAGAGCGCATGGAACTTTCTCCAAGATAGATCATATGATAGGCCATAAAACAAGCTTCAATAAATTTAAGAAAATTGAAATTATATCAAGCACTGTCTCAGACCACAGTGGAATAAAACTGGAAATCAACTCCAAAAAGATCCTTCAAAACCATGCAAATACATGGTATTTAAATAAACTGCTCCTGAATGAGCATTAGGTCAAAAATGAAATAGAGATGGAAATTTAAAAATTCATCAAACTGAATGACAATAATGACACAGCTTATCAAAACCTCTGGGACACAGAAAAGGCAATGCTAAAAAAAAAGTTCATAGCCCTAAACTCTTACATCAAAAAGTCTAAAGGAGCACAAACAGACAATCTAAAGTCACACCTCAAGGAACTAGAGAAACAAGAACAAACTAAACCCAAACCCAGGGGAAGAAAGGAAATAGCCTAGATCAAAGCAGAACTAAGTGAAATAGAAACAAAAAAATTACAAAAGATACATGAAACAAAAAGCTGGTTCTTTGAAAAGATAAATAAAATTGACAGACCATTAGCAAGGTTAACCAAGAAAAAAAGAGAGAAAATCCAAATAACCTCACTAAGAAATGAAACAGGAGATATTACAACTGACACCACTGAAATATAAAATGTCATTCAATGCTACTATCAACACCTTTATGCAAAACTAGAAAACCTAGAAGAGATGGATACATTCCTGGAAAAATACAACCCTTCTAGCTTAAATCAGGAAGAATTAGATACCCTGAACAGACTAATAACAAGCAGCAAGATTGAAATGCTAATTAAAAAATTACCAACAAAAAGTTCAGGACCAGATGAATTCACAGCAGAATTCTATCAGACATTAAAAGAAGAATTGGTACCAATCCTTTTGACACTATTCCACAAGATAGAGAAAGGAGGAACCCTCCCTAATTCATTCTATGAAGCCAGAATCACCTTAAAATACCAAAACCAGGAAAAGGACGTAACCAAAAAAAGAAAACTACAGACCGATAACCTTCACGAGTATAGATGCTAAAATCCTTAACAAAATACTAGCTAACTGAATCCAACAACGTATCAAAAAGATAATCCACCATAATCAGGTGGGTTTTATACAAGGGATGCAGGGATGGTTTGACATATGCAAGTCAATGAATGTGATACACCACATAAACAGAATTAAAAACAAAATCACATGATCATCTCAATAGATAAAGAAAAAGCATTCAACAAAATCCAGCATCACTTTATGATTAAAACTCTAAGCAAAACTGGCATATACAAAAGACATACCTTAATGTAATAAAAACCTTCTATGACAAACCTACAGCCAACATAATACTAAATGAGGAAAAGTTGAAAGCATTTCCTCTGAGAACTGGAACAAGACAAGGATGCCCACTCTCACCACTCCTCTTCAACATAGTACTGGAAGTCCTAGCCAGAGCAATCAGACAAGAGAAAGAAATGAAGGGCATCCAAATTGGTAAAGAGGAAGTCAAACTGTCACTGTTTGCTGATAATATGATCATTTACCTTGAAAACCCTAAGACTCCTCTAAAAAGTGCCTAGAACTGGTGAAAGAATTCAGCAAAGTTTCCAGATACAATATTTATATAGACAAATCAGTAGCTCTTCTATACACTAACAGCGACCAAGCAGATAATCAAATTAAGAACTCAACCCCTTTTACAATAGCTGCACAAAAAAAAATAAAATACTTAGGAATATACCTAACAAGAAAGTCGAAAGATCTCTACAAGGAAAACTACAAAACACTGCTGATAGAAATCATAGATGACACAAACAAATGGAAACACATCCCATGCTCATAGATGGGTAGAATCAATATTGTGAAAATGACCATACCACCAAAAGCAATCTACAAATTCAATGCAATCCCCATCAGAATACCACCATCATTCTTCACAGAATTAGAAAAAGAAATTCTAAAATCTATATGGAACCAAAAAAGAGCCTGCATAGACAAAGGAAGACTAAGCAAAAACAACAAATCTGGAGGCATCACACTACCTGATTTCAAACTATACTATAAGGCCATAGTCACCAAAACAGTGTGGTACTTGTATAAAAATAGGCACGTAGACCAATGGAACAGAGTAGACAACCCAGAAATGAACTCAAAACTTACAGCTAAATAATCTTCGACACAGCAAACGGAAACATAAGGTGGAGAAAGGACATCGTTTTCAACAGATGGTGTTGGGATAATTGGCTAGCCACACCTAGGAGAATGAAACTGGGTCCTCCTCTCTCACCTTATACAAAAATCAACTCAAGATGGATTAAGGCACTAAACCTAAGACCTGAAACTATAAGAATTCTAAAAGATAACATTGGATAAACCCTTCTAAACATTGGCTTAGGAAAAGATTTCATGACCAAGAACCCAAAAGCAAATGCAATAAAAACAAAGATAAATATCTGAGACCTAATTAAACTAAAGATCTTTTGCACTGCAAAAGGAACAGTCAGCAGAGTAAACAGACAACCCACAGAATGGGAGAATATCTTCACAATCTATACATCTGACAAAGGACGAATATCCAGAACCTACAAAGAACTCAAGCAAATCAGTAAGAAAAAAAAATAATCCCATCAAAAACTGAGCTAAGGACATGAATAGACAATTCTCAAAAGAAGATATGCAAATGGCCAAAAATCATATGAAAAGATGCTCAGCATCACTAATGATCAGGGAAATGCATATCAAAGCCACAATGTGATACTACCTTATTCCTGCAAGATTGGTCATAATCAAAAAATCAAAAAACAGTACATGTTGGTGTGGATGCGGTGAACAGTGCACCCCACTGCTAGTGGGAATGTCAACTAGTACAGCCACAATGGAAAACAGTGTGGAGACTCATTTAAAAACTAAAAGTAGAACTATCATTTGATCCAGCAATCCCACTATTAGGTACCTACCCAGAGGAAAGAAGTCATTATTCGTAAAAGATACTTGCACATGAACATTTATAGCAGCATGATTCACAATTGCAAAATGATGGAACCAACACAAATGCCCATCAATCAACGAGTGGATAAAGAAACTGTATAAATATATATACTCACACACACACACATATATATATGTATGTGTATATATATATGTGTGTGTGTGTGTGTGTATATATGTGCGTGTATATACACATATATATGATGGAATATATAGGTGATGGAAAATATATATATATGATGGGAAAAAATATATATATGATGGAATACTACACAGCCATAAAAGGAATGAATTAGCAGCATTTGCAGTGACCTAGATGAGATTGGAGAGTATTATTCTAAGTGATGTAACTCAGGAATGGAAAACCAAACATCATATGTTCTCACTGATATGTGAGAGCTAAGCTATGAGGATGCAAAAGGATAAGAATGATACAATAGACTTTGGGGAGTTGGAGGGAAGAGTAGGAGCAGGGCGAGGGATAAAAGACTACAAATATGGTGCAGTATATACTGCTCTGGTAATGGGTGCACCAAAATTTCAAAAATCACCACTAAATAACTTACTTATGTAACCAAATACCACCTGTACCCCAATAACTTATGGAAAAAATGAAATAAAGTAAAGCACCTAAAATACATTCAAAAATAATAATTATTGATGTCACTTACAGTTTCAACTTATGTATTCTGAGAGCAAAGCAGTATTTTTTATGTAGGGAAATTATGAAAACTGGCAGGTTTAATTGAAACAAATGAAGAACAATACAAGGATCAAATAAATTTTAATTTCTTATAACAAGGAACTAGCAAACATGCATATGAATCTTCAAATCCCACACATAACCCAGCATGACATATCCAGTGTGCCTAAACTCCAGCACTGTATTCTTAGTGCCTCCAGTAATCAGCTAGGGAAATTTTCTGAACTGGTCTGGTTTTGCATATGAGATTTTTCCAGGAAAGCCAGTGAAATTCACCTCTAGTTCAGTTTTTCATGCTGCGCTAAGGTGCCTTCATTCATTTATTCATGAAAGCTATGGATCTTGTTTTTTTATAGCAGCAATCAGACATTTATTCACTGTTCTAATTTATTTTATATTTGAATATTTCAAGTGCCAGTATTAATCTTCTGGTATATATATACAGTATTAATCTTCTGGTATATATATGTGTATACACACACACATATATGTCAGAATTTATATATATAAATTATGTATATATAAATTATATATATTTATATATATATAATTGTAAACCCTATCACTAGAGAATACAAAATGAGACCACAGAACCCGTAACTATTATGTTTAGTTATACAAAGGCAAATTTTTGCCCTTATAAAACTTAGTAATGTTTTCAGCAGGCAGATTTACATGTCTAAATCCCTTGGCAATGTAATTCAACTGCCACTATAGTTATTAGAAATGAACTAAGGCATATACTTATCAGATTATGTTAAATTATTTTATACTGATAGTCTTTTCAGCAAAGGCTCAATTTCAGACTACTGTAAACTGCCCATGAAATATACCTGTTAGTGTATTAAAGTAATGACAGAATAAGAGAAATATGCAAAGAAACACTTCTAATACAGTGAAAGAAATCATGGATGATAGGTCCTCTTTTTAATTGAAATGTATTTTTCCTGGGATCATAAGTTTGTTTTCATTATTTCTTTAAAACCTCATGCCATTTTGCAGGAAAAGGTCAAATTTCACTGCTGGGAAACGGTTGCAAATTCAAATATAGACAACATTGTTTTCAAATGATTTTTTTATATAACACTGGAATTAGGGCTTATTATCTGTCACTAAGTGACAGAAGGGAACCCACCCTGGATATCAGAGCTACATCACACAAACAAGTTATAATGGTATATATTTAAAATCTGCGAAATAATGCAGGGCATCCAGCTCTGAGTTCCATATAATGAAAGTTAGCATATCAGACTACGAAAATAACTTCTGATATTTACCCTCATGATGATTGTTTCTTGTCCCTCAAATAGTTAAGAGTTAGTCTTCATAACAACCTTTTAAAAATCTCAGCTCTAATACTTTATATGAAGAGGAAGAGTTAGGTAAGGTTATGTTATTATCTATCTCATATTTGTACTGGATTTCTGATGAATTCGGTTTTATTCTGTGGTCTACTAAGCATTTTTATAAACTCCCAAGTAGGAATGAAAAAACTGGTACTATTTGAGGCTGGAAAAATGTTAGAATAGAACCTGAAACACAATCTGCAAACCACAGTTCCTCTTCATTTTATGTATATTTCAAGGAAAATTTAATTCAGATGTTTCTGATTAATGTACACTTAGCTCATGAAACTTGTTGTGCAAAACTATTTGACTTCCAGGAAGCCTTTTTCTTTGCAAGACATTTTCCTCTGTACAAGGAAATTTAGTTCTGCCTATACTAGATGGTATGCAAAACTGGAAACACTTCTGCTGCTTTTTTTTTTTTTAACTTTGATTTTAAGTTCAAGGTACAAGTGCAGGTTTGTTACATAGGTAAACTTCTGTCATGGCGGTTTGTAGTACAGACTGTTTCCTCACCCAGGTATTAAGCCCAGTACCCATTAGTTAGTTTTCCCGATCTTCTCCCCGTTCCCACCCTCTCTCCTCAAAGGCCCCAGTGTGTGCTGTTCCCCTTTATGGTGCTTTTAAAAAATGTATCTGAGTTCACATTTTTATTTGATGATAGTTTTTAAAGCAAACTATGTCCATTGCCTTTGTAAACAATCAGGAAAAAAAAATAACTAATATACTAGAAGTGACTTAATCAAATCCCTAAATAAGAAAAATAACTTGTGAATTTACATTATACTGAACCATACAATCTTTGACTGTATGGTAAAATGTCTAACATATGTTAGAAACAATAATGGAAAGAAATTGAACCAAAAGTCAAGGGAACTGGCTTCTAACCTCAATTCTGTCACACACTTTCTAAGTGATTTTTTAAAAATCATATTGTTTCCTTTATCTTCATCTATAAAATGAAAGGGCTAGATAAAATAGCTTCCCCAAAAACAATTCTTGAATATTTGTCTAATTTCTGAATTCTATATACATTACATCAATAGTAGATTTGATCAACTTTACCTCAGGTAATGATCTTAATTCACTTAAATAATATACACTTAGCTCATCAAACTTAAATAAGATTATAGCAAAATACATATTGGTCAACATTCAAAAAACCAAAGTCTTACACATATATTTTCTTTAATTTTTCCAATTAACTACTTTTATTTTATATTTTATTTTTTATGGGTACATAGGTGTACATTTTTATAAGTTACATGAGATATGAAAGAGAGGCAGAAAATATGATACAGACTGAATTATGGATTATTGTTAAGATTTTTTCCATATTAGATTGTGGTGTTTATACATAATTGTCTAGAGCTATCATGTCAATGATCTTTACATGGAAATAATATAACAAAGATGACCCTAAAACACGGAAAACTTTGGGTTTATGTTATTCATCATGATAGGTGGCATTATGCTGCAGTAAAAAAGAGTCCCTATAGCTCAGTAACTTCAAACAACCATAGGATACTTCTTGCTCACATTATATGTCCTTGTAGGTTTCCTGGGGGCTATGTTCCATTCCATCAATCAGGAGATTTTTTTCCCAAGGTTTATTTCACAAGGATAACATCAGTCAGCTGAAGAGAAATGGCAAATAGTTAATTTGTTCTGAGACTAGTGACCAAAGCAAGCCATCCAGCCACTCATAAACTTCAAAAGGGTAAAGAAGCACAAGTATTATCATATGCCAAAAAAGCAAATCAGCAATAAATGGGAGACACTATTTACGACCTCCACAGTCACACACAAGCCAGACTTAAGTGATATTTAGTGTAGCAGTCTCATTAAGAAAAAAAGTTGGCTAACTTATCTTAGAAATATTTTTTGAAATTAAAAAGTGATTTTTTCTAATTGAAATATCATAGAATATAATGACATATAATAACATACCATATAATTAGATATTCCTTAACATTTATTTATTCAAAATGTTAATTTCAATGAGCACATTCAAATATATAAATGTTTATTAACCTTAATGCTAAAAAGTACTTTTTAAAAATTTTTATAAAATCTTTTTTTTACTTGGTATTGACATAGATTTAGAAAAACAATATTATTTTAAATAATAGTGAATGTATCATAAATATACATATTAAATGTATAATAATATGCATAATATAGTTATCAAATGTATTCTGTGCAACGATCAATACAAATTATTCTGTCTTTATATCCAAAATTAAACAATTTGCTCATATTGTCTTTACTTACATATCTTAAAACTGTTGTTTTATTGCCATTCTAGATCTATCAACTTAATAAGACATGACCCATCAGAGTCTTCCTTTCATATATGAAAAATTACTAACCTCCCTCAAGCCTTCCTAATATACTTTTAGCTCAATTTTCAGTATGCTCTTTGTAACTGTAAATCATATACTTATATTTCATTTTTTGATACATAAAAAACAGTCACAAGCTTTTGACTTTCCTTATTGTAAGATGAGGTTTTCTTGCACCTGTCCTTTTTTCAGCTCTCCTCTCTCATCTCTTCCATCTTGGTACTTATCTACATACTTTTATTATTTTCCTTTGCAAGATGAAAACGTTAATATTTTGCTTTTATCAGAGATAAGCCTTCCGTGTTGTGTTGTTTATTATATGCAAACATCAGTACTATTTATATTGTTTTCACTATTTAAATACTATTTACTGGGGAACCTAGTAGTATAATTTTATTCTATTTTTTATCTAGTTTATAAAGTATCAGTTTGGGTGCCTATAGTGGATTATTCAGTAGTTATCTAATTGTTAGAATGCTGAGCATTCTAAAATGAACTCATTCAGTCTGCTGAATTTTGGGGGAGGCTCAAAGGGCTACCTAGAATATGTTCATTTGTTTGTTTGTGGTGGAGAGGAGGATCCTGATGCAATGGCATGTGAACCAGTGGTGTAAGTGACATGAATATGATTTCAAAGGTATTTCCTCTGCGTGTTTTATCGCTTCCTCTTCTATGCTCCATAATGCATACCGACCCATGGTAAAACACCATTTATTGAATTGAAATTAGAGCTTCTCTTCTAAACTGCAAGCGTCTTGACGACAGGCAGCATGTCATATACATTTTAGTAACTCTAGAACTTAACCTCAAATTGAGTGAAACCTAATATTTATTGACTATGAAGCATGTCCCATGCACTGTATAATGCACTTTCATATATTTCATCTCACTTAACCTCCTCAAATGCTCAGGGAAAATGATACTACTGCATTTTACACATAAGAGTAATAAAACACAGATGATGTAACAAAATACCCAATGCTGCAAGAGAGACAGAGGCAGGATTTAAAAATTGTTATTGTGACACCAAGTCTGATCATTTCTTCTATATGCTGCTGTTTCATATATGAGGAATCTGGTACAGAATATATAGTCAATAAATATGTGCTAAATGCGTCAACAGAGTAATCTTTTATTATAGAATTTGTAGATGTAAAGATTATAACAGATAGTAGGCATCGTAGGAAGTGGCTGGAGAGTCCCAAGGCACTGGAACATAGAACATGGTAATTTATTTTAGTCAACAATGGGAAGTTTAAAAGAAGGGAAAAATGCCCCAAATAAAGATTGTTTAAAGGACAAAACAGCTGCATGCCATTTGGACAAATTATTATGAAACAAAGGTTGAAGTGATGGTAACAGTGAAATGACTCTGATAACCCAAAGCCATTTAAATGATAACTGACTCTTTCTATTCATACATAATATTTATACGTATTTGTGGGTTACACATGATATTTTGTTACATTTATAGAATGTATAATAATCAAGTCAGGGTATTTAGGGTATCCGTTACCTCAGGTATTTATCATTTCTGTATGTTAGGAACATTTCCAGGCCTTACTTTTTGCTATTTTGAAATATGCAATACCTTGTTAGATACAGTCATCCTACTCTGCTATCAAATATTAGAATTTATCCTTTCTATCTAACTGTATATTTGTACTTATTTATCAACTTCTCTCCATTCCCCTCCTTCCCAGCTATACACCCTGCCCAATCTCCAGTATCTACCATTCTACTAAATCTTTGTAAGACCCACCTTTTTTATAGCTCCCATGTGTGCTATTTGTCTTTCTGTGGCTAGCTGATTCCATTTAACATAATGACTTCCAGTTCCATCCATGTTGCTGCAAATGACATGATTTTATTCTTTTTATGACTAAATAGTATTCCGTTATGTATATATGCACATTTTCTTTATTCATTCATCCAAATATGAACATTTAGCTTGATTCCATATCTTTGCAACTGAGAGCAGTGCTACAATAAATACATGGGTGCAGACATTCCTTTAATATACTGGTTTCTTTTTCCTTGACTAAATAGTAAGTTAGGTTGTTTTATTTTACCCTGCTCTTCTTTCATTTTGTGTAGCTACTTATTGATGTAGCTACACAAAATGTAGTAAATATTGATGCAATTCCAATCCTTTTTTAACCTAGCCATGAAAATAAATATATCTTTTTCTTGGAGATAATCAGAATGTGTCTAATGACATGAAACCACTCTTATAAAAGAAACTAAATGTATTGCACTCAATTAGTCTGCTATTTCTGGTTTGCTTTTCATGAGAGTTGGCTTTTTTCAGATAAAAATGGTTTCAGGCTAATATTTACATTTTTTAAAAAATTAGTAATGTAATAACTTAACATAGAGATAAAAAGAAGCTGGAAGTGTATACAGAAAGATGGATGCCTCTTTCAAATTTTAAAGCTTTAATGTATTTTAATCCTTATTTTCTAAGTTTTCTTATGCATATTATCCTACATTTAAAATCTATTTCTTGCAAATCAAAACCGCATGAGAGACTGTCTCACACCAGTCAGAATAGTTATTATTAAAAACTTAACAATGCAACAGATGTTGGCAAGGCTGTGGAGAAAAAGGAATGTTTATACACTGTTGGTGAGAATGTAAATTAGTTCAGCCACTGTGGAAAACGGTTTGGAAATTTCTCAAAGAACTTAAAACAGAACTACAATTTGAGCCAGCAATCCCATTACTGGCTATCCAAAAGAAGATGAATTGTTTTACCAAAAAAAAAAAAAAAGATTTACTCATATGTTCATTGCAGCACTATTCACAATAACAGAGACATGGAATCAACCTAGTTGCCCATCATGGTGAATTGGATAAAGAAAATGTGGTACATATACACTATGGAATGCTATGCAGCCAGAAAAATGAATAAAATCATGTCCTTTGTAGCAACAGCAACATGGGTGGAGCTGGAGGCCATTATCCTAAGTGAACTAATGTGGAAACATAATACCAAATACTGCATGTTCTCTCTTGTAAGTGGGAGATAAACAATGGGTACTTATGGACATAAAGGTGGTCATAAATATACACTGGAACTAACTATTGGGTGCTATGCTGAGTATCTGGGTAACGGTATCAATTGTACCTCAAACCTCAGCATCACACAATATACTCAGGTAACAAAACTGCATGTGTAACTCCTGAATCTAAAGTAAAAGCTGAAATTATTTAAAAACAAATAAATAAAATATATATTTTTTTACTTTAAGCTCATTTTAAATTCCGGACCCATTTTCTAGGGGAAAACAAACACTCCCTCTCTGAAATATCCTGTCCCGTTTCTGTCAACAATAAATGCAATAAGCTTGCTTCTAAGATATTACTTAGGTCACTGATGAAAATTCTAAATATCTTGCTGTATTGTTGATGCTGGAAGCATTATAGAATCAATTCTGAAAGGTAGCATTTCTGTCATGTGGGACCTGACCATTGTGACTCTCAGAGGACACTTACTAAGTAGAGACAGGTACATCTGTTTATTACATAACACAAAAGTGATCATATATTATGTCACTCTGTTTCCAGAGTGATGTCAAAGACACCAATATTTCTCAAGCTATTCATTTTATAATTGCCAAAATACAACTAATCATAGAAATAATGATTAAATAAATAAATTCACTGTTTTCATTGTACTCAAAAATATATCTTGATAGCCTGTAAAAGAACCAAAGAAACATAGTAGAACCAAATTATATACATGAGATAAGTAGGATCTATCTTGAAGTTTTCAAAATCATTGTTCAAATTACATTAGTTTGCAAAGAACTTTACGATTCAGTCACAAACTGAAAGAAATAAGATACTGTACAGCCATATAAAAGGGCAGGGAACATCACACACCAGGGCCTGTCGGGGGGTGGGGGGCTGGGGGAGGGATAGCATTAGGAGATATACCTAATGTAAATGATGAGTTGATGGGTGCGGCAAACCAACATGGCACATGTATACCTACGTATCAAACCTGCACGTTGTGCACATGTACCCTAGAACTTAAAAGTATAATTTAAAAAAAATAAAAAAAAAGAAGAGAATTTCAGGGCCTCAATACATGAAATGGTTTCAAATATGTCTGAATTTGAAGGAAAATTTAAGTAACATGTAAGAGTGAAAAGAGCCCTCATGAAGGAGACAGTGAACTGGAATTTTGATGTTTCTCTCCGCCGCTAATAAGCAATGTGATATAGTACCAAAATACTTAACTTATTGCTACCTTAATTTCTTTATTCGTGAAATAAAGTATTAGGGGAAATAATTTTTAAGATTATTTTAATACAATAATAAAAGGTTAAAATAAAAGTAGACCACTAAATTGTATGGATCTATATAATATACATAACTGAGGTATACACGTATCTACATATATGTAAATGTATGTATGTTTTATAAGTATATGGTACAATGCACAATTTTTCTCCTCTGTAAGTAAAATATAAATGCAAATAAAAAGATGTGTATTTTATGTGACAATGATTTGAAATGCATTTCTTAATGGATCAAATAATCAAAAATATACACAATGAGTAAATTACATAAATCTAAATAAGGAAATCAAACAAATCTTTAGACACACCAGCATGGGCATATTGAGGGTGGAAGACTTCTAGAGAGATGAGCATGAGGGGCCCACTGTGCTATCATAACAAATTTTGCAAAAATGAATGCTTATTATAATTTCACTCTAGATTGAATATCTTTTATTTTTCACCTGACATAAAAGTCTCTTGTTATAAGGCTTCATAACTACCTCTTCCTCACAAAAAAATACATACACATTTCATAAGTCTGTGAACTTATGTGGGGAAAATAATTTTTAATAAATATGTATCTGTCCCTCACAACTTCATGGTGTGGCTAAAGCATTTTGAAGCACATGCTTGCTAAAATGGCAAATGTATCATAAACCTTCATCTCTGCCTTGGCATCCATTGGATGAATGGCTGTTTTCATGTATGTCAACATGAAAGGTAATGTCCACAGTTTAAAAAAATACATACATCGTTTACAATTTTAGTACCCAATCCTCCCCATGCTCCCAAGTTCTGAGTTCATACCCCTGAATGACAGAAAAAATATATAGTCTTTAATTTTAAAAGTCTCTTAAATCCATTTGCCAATTTTAAGGATAGAAGAGGTAAAAAAAGAAATAAAAAAAGAAAATAAAAGATAGGAAGGAAGGGAAGGGAAGGGAGGGGAAGGGAGAGAAGGAAGGAAAGGAAAGGAAAGAGAAGAAAGGAAAAGAAAGGAAGGAAGGGAAGGAGAAAGGAAAGAAGGAAGGAAAGAAGAAGGAAAGAAGGAAGGAAGGTAGGTCAGTTGCTAAAAATAGAGTTTGCATGGAGATGAATAAATATTACTGACAGACTGGTTATCTGGTGATCCAAACTAAATAAACTATGATATAAGTTTACTCACAAAACTAGTTATAATTTTTAGTTTAATAAAGAAAAAGTACCTTAAAAATCACACCATTTAATATGGTTTTTATTTCAACTTTTGTCTATAAGCATCTTCTTGTGTGTGAAATGTATTTCCCCACTGAGTGATTTTCCACATTTACCACACAACACTCCCCCCTGCTTGGAACCTGTGCATATTTTTCTTTTATAAACTTTGACAGAAAAATTGGGGCCTTTTTACCAATTAGATAATAAAAATAGCTTCCCCTATTTTTCCCTATTACTGAGGAAAATCTCAGTTGTTCTGTTTTCTTATTTCTTCTAGTTACATATGATCTTAATATATGCTTATTAATTCAGACACACTGAACATTTATTTTATTTATAATTTTTGCTCCCTGCTATTCTCAGGAGAGGCACAACTCAATTTTATGGGTGACTTGGGAGTAAGTAGTTATGCATTCATGCTCCAGCCTGCTTCGGTGTCACACATTCATAATGTTGAACACTCAATCTACAACCCACAACAACACATCACAGTCACAAGTCCAATCACACAATGTCCTATTGCAGTATTTCATGTCATTCCTTTGAGACAGGCAATTCCTGATTAGCCCCTGGATTTTTCCTGTTTTTAATGTCTGGGCCCATTGGGCTGCAGACCTAGCATAAATGGGGATGGCGAGTACGTCTCTGGTCTCCTGTAGCTACAGAGGGCTCAGAGCAGACATAAAACAGGCTTACAGCCCTACAACATCTGAACAGTGTTTCCTGTCTGTAGTTCTTATTTTTACACTTGGCATGAGCTGCAATGACCTTTCCCCTGTTCTTTAAAGGGATGTCTTTTATGGAGGTTAAGAGTGACTTGGCCCCCAAGTGAACAAAGTCCTGGGCCCCCACTGTACTCCAGCTGTGCCATATGTGCATAGTGCTGTGAATGCTGATTTAGTGGTATGGGCAATGGTCCACCAGAACTGAGCATACTGAGATCACCACAATTATGTGACTTGAAGATCTTGTGTGCCCCACTGATCGTTACCAGAGTTATGAAAGTTAGGCTTTGGGCTGCACTTATCTGCCAACTCAGCAGCATTTTGACCACATGAATTAATGATAGCACAGTAAGTACATTTTACGGCTACTTGTAATTGTTATTAAAGCCAAACATGGGACTTACACTGAAAATAGTGTCCTAGCCAGTTGCCTCTGAATAGAGCCATACACATTCACTTTTTCTTCGTCTACACGTGGTTTTGACTCCACGTGTATTGCCATGTGGGAGGGATCACTTTGGCCCAAAACCTAATAAGCTAAATGTATCTTTCTGCAGTTAATTTCTTAGGAATTCCATCCATAAGAGATGGTGAGAAAACATGAGAGTTTGAGTATTCCTGAAAAATGCACAGGACAAAGCTCTCTGGGAAATAAATGTAGTGTTTATTAAGTGAAGAATTCTCATATTGGCAAAGTAGTAAAAGTTTAATGTTTTACTATTTAAAATTATAATGGCATTTGTTTACCATAAGTTGTATTGATTCTACCTTTAATGCAAGTCAGTGGGATAGATACAGAACTTTATTTATTCATGTTACACATTTCTTCTCATTTTTGGTTATTTTGAAGATGCCATCTTGATCGTGCCATCTCAGGGAAGAGTAGATTCCTCATTACTTGCTATGATATCTCTAAGTCTTTAGATGATACAGGAGATATTATTTTTGTCTGCCATACTATTCCTTCTATCCTTCTAGCAAAGCCATTGAAATAACAACAAAAGTAACTAGAGCTAATTAGTCCATCATGACTAAATGCAGCTGTGTGTAGCGAATGAGGGAGCAAGCAGAACATGATGCTTCTTCATGTTTTCCCTCCTATTGACATTTTTGGCTCCTATAATTAGTAGCCTTATCCAATCATGAACACCAGAAGAGATAGAATTGAGATTGCAGCTTCATTGTTTTCTGACACACTGTGTGGGGAAAAAATCCCAACACCCAAACATCATTCAGTCCATAAAATGAAGAGGTTACACATAATTTTTACTTTTAAATATAAATAAACTTCTGGAATTTATTATTCATAGTGGGGCTAGCAAATAGTTTCACTTAAGTACAAGTTTAAGATATAAATAAATACAAAAGACTAAAAATTGATAACTTGATGTCACAGGTTTATTACCAGAGTATTCAAATGTCTTTTTGAACTAAACAATGAGTAACTGGACAGAAGGCCTGTGTTTTATTTGTTCCTCTATTTCCAACATCTATCCAATAAATAGTTACTCAATACATATTTGTTGAATTGAATTGAATAGGAATATTCATTGTTGTTAACTCACTAAAATGAAGAAAAATTAAACTACATTTTCTTTCTGCATAAGCCTTCATTTTGAAAATCTTTCTTAAATACTTTTTACCTTTCCTTTTACATTTGTACATTTTCATATAGTTTTATTCCCATGGAAATGTACTTCAGGGAAATTGATACTTACATTCTTCTTTACTTGCACACAATAAATAATCAATCATTATAGTTAAGTGAAATTTCTAAATTCACATACATTTTCAGGAGAAAAACAAAAGACAGATTTTTATTTTAAGGTCAGATTTGCTAGAGCATTCCTGTTATTCTCTAAAAAATATATGTTCTCCACATAGAAAATATGTGCTTTTTTGTGTGTGTATGTGTATGTGATCTATGACCTAAAAGGAGGATTCAATTATTACTTTAAGTCTCACATTTTGTCTGTAAAATACGAGAGATTTTGTAGTGTAATACAGAAGTATTTAATAAAATGTTTTCCCTACCCTGTATTTGCTTAAAATTAAACAGTGGTTAAGTCCTAATTTAAAATGGCTAAGAATCTATACGTAGGAACATTTTTAAACGCATACACTAATTGCTTAAATACAAGGAAGCATTAAACAGATTCTGGCAGTGTGAATCCAAAATTGAACTGTTTCACGTTATTGAAAAAAAAACTAACTCTTTCTTCAACTATCAACTTCAAAATTTGAAGTTTCAGCCTATAGATTCTGCAGGCACTTTGCTGCTTGCAGAAACGCAGAGAAGATGGAAAACAGTTTAATCAATATGCTCAATAAACCGTTTGCTCACCTAATTGAGGGGAGGGCAAAAATAACTTCCAACCATTTCATTTCATTGACAGCAAGCCTTGGATACATTGCCTACTTGTCTTTTTAAAGTAGAGCATCCAAAGTGGTTTCTCCTGGATGGTCTTTTCAGAGGTCACATAAACAGGCTTCCATCCTGATCCTTAATCCTAGCTGAAGTGTGAGAGTAAATGAGAAAACATGTGCTGATTTTTTAAATACGTCTAGAAAACAGTGATGTATAAACTCACGATTTTGCAATTAGGAGCCCCAAGCACTGCATCTCATTTAATGGCACGCCACTTTCAAGCTGTATAATTCTATATTCTCTTTATGAGAATGTCTTATTAAAGAACAGGGAAAGTAAAAAAGTGTCTCATGATACCCTGTTCCGCTGAGATTAGGATTGATTAATGAGCGTGTCTTACATTTTCCATAGTTTGCTATAGGCAAATGTGCTGTATGTTTTTGAATGTCCTTGGATAAGGTGCTGCCATCTCAGTCACTAACTGCCGTAGCACGTGGGAAAAAAAAGCATAACATTTTTCCCCACAGATATAAAACAATGGGACACAGAAGGCCTTACCTCTATGCCATTAATAAAATGCTTGTCTCTGTGTGGCCATAAAATGTAGCATAGAAATGTACCTCCAGTGTGTTTAGTATATTTGCATGCAGCAACCTCACCTGGACTGGCATCATTTTATGTCATTATCCCGAAACAAACAAAAAAAATGGTGTAGCTCCTAGAATACATCCCAAAGTGGATTGGTGGAGAAGTTTGTCTAACAAGACTTGCTGGCTTTTTTATTTCTCAACACTTGTGTGACATTTACCTAGCAAATAAGCCCTCCTCCATTCATGAAAGATCACTGTAAAGTTAGAAGGATTATTTATGTGCTGCTTTACCCTTTTACCTTCCATTTTTCCGTATTAATCCATGTTTAAAAAATTGAATCAGCCCTTTCAATTGGTAATAGAGAAGTATTTTGGGATGGCCTGTTGATACGTTACCAAGGATCTAGGGCTGCTTTGTTTCTAAATAATCTTGTTCCAGATCCAACATGAGTTAGTCTTTGATAATAATAATACAATTAAATCAAGTCCTTGGATTTAGAGGGTAGTGACAGACAAGGGAACCCTGTGTTATTGTGATGCCAACAAAGCAGAAAGGTATTCTACATAACTAACCTTACATTGAAAAATACTTTGAAGCACTTTTCTTACAGTCTTTTTATATTTGATGTCAGTTGTATCTCATGTAATATTCACCAGAGTTGCAAAACAAAAGAGGTAATTGTTTTCTCTTTAGCCACCAAATCTGCTGAAACAGTCTTACTTGCTCTTATAAACCAATAGATATCTTATAACTGACATATCTGAGCTTTAAGAGAGAGAAAATAGTGGCATAGTATTACCAGTGACCAAATAAAGCCCTATAAGCTGAAGCGTGAAATTAATTTAGTTGTTTGTCAGATAATTGGCTTAGAAACAGTTTGTTTTCTGTATTCAGGCTAATCTGCTAAGCACAAGATTCTGAAAGTGACTTAATTTCATCCTGCCAAGAGTTTTTTGTTCTTTTGCTTTTTCTACCTTGTGATAAGAAATGGAAACTTCTCCACAACAATAAGAAAATCCATGGGGAATGTTTTGTTTGTCTGTTTGTTTGTCTGAGATGGAGTCTAGCCCTGTTGCCCAGGCTGGAGTGCAGTGGTACGATCTCAGCTCACTGCAACCTCTCTGCCTCATGGGATCTCAGCTCACTGCAACCTCTGCCTCATGGATTCAGGAGATTTTCCTGTCCCAGCCTCCAAAGTTTCTGGGATTACAGGCGCCCACCACCACGCCTGGCTAATTTTTTTTGTATTTTTAGTAGATACGGGGTCTCACCACGTTGGCCAGGCTTGTCTCGAACTCCTGACCTCAGGCGATCAACTCCCCTCGGCTTCCCAAAGTTTATCTAACAAGACAATCACAAAATGCCGTGATTACAAGCGTGAGCCACGGCCCCTGGCCTCATGAGGAATGTTTTAAAGGCAGATTTCAGTTTGTACAAAGACTAATTTTGTGTTTATTATAGTCTTGAACAACCCATAATGTTCTTATTAACTAAGGACTTGAAAAAGATAATAGTAAATAATAACTATTGACCACTGACATAGCACAACCATACTTGACATTTTTAATTTACAAATATTAATAAATACCGATGCTTGTGAAATAAAGTATCGTATAAAGAGCCCTAACCATATGAACGCCTTTCCTCTTTGGCTTGTGCACAATTAAGACTATCTGATTCATGTCAATAGAATATTAGCAAAACAAGAAATACAATGGCAATAAACATATGAAAAATGTAAATTATTCTGAATAATTAATATATGCTAATGTAAGCAAAGATGTAATTGTTCACTTCTATAATTGATATAGATTATTTCTTAAATGAGAGCCTCTGATATTAGCAAAGTATATTAAAATGATTTCTTGGGCACTACAGTAATAAAGTGTACATTAGTATAACTACCTTTGAGATAATTAGAACTAGTTATAAAAATCTAAAATACTCTCACCCTTGGCCTCAGAATTAATCTTTATATATTTATTCTGAGGAAATGAATTTGATTGATAAGCAATCTATAGTTGCAAAAGCATAAAAACAAGCAAAAATAATAAGAGGATAATGGTTGGTTGAATGTTTAATATCCAAATGATGCAGTATTTTCAGCACTAACATTCATGTTTTTCAAAAGAATTACGATAAGATCTATATGAGAAGAGCTTTAAAATATCAGATGAAAGAAATAAAATAATTAGAGATATTCCATGTTCATGAATAGGCAGACTCTATATTATCAAGATGTTAGTTTTTCCCAACTTTATCTGTAGACTCGATGCAATTCCAATGAAAATCTGAGCAAGTTATTTTGTGAATATAGACAAACTGATTCTGAAGTTTTTATGGAGAGGCAGAAAAACCCAGAATAACGAACAATGTTTAAAGAGAGAAAAAAGTTGGGAACTAACACTCCCTGACTTCAAAGCTTACTGTAAAGCTACAGTAATCAAGACAATGTGGTGAAAAAATAAACAAATACATGGCTAAAGAAGTATAATGAGCCCAGATATAGGCCCACATAACTATACTAATCTTGACAGTTGACAAAGGAGCAAAAACAATACGATGAAGAAAAATAGTCTTTTCAACATGTGATGCTGTAACAACTGGACATCCACATGCAAAAAACAAAATACACCTAGACACAAATCTTATAACTTTCACAAAAATTAACTAAAAATGAATTATAGACCCAAATGCATAATACAAAACTATAAAACTTTTGGAAGATAACATAAGAGTAAACCTAGATGACCTTGGGTATGGCAATGACTTTTAAGATACACCAAATACACCATACAAAAACCTGGACTTCATTAAAACAAAAATTTTTGCTCTGTAGCAGAGAATGTGAAGATAATGAGAAGACAATCCACAGACTTTGATAAAATGTTTGGAAAAGCCACATCTGACAAAGGACTATTATTAAAAACATAAAGAGAACTCTTAAAACATATTCAGAAGAAAGCAAACAATTCAATTAAAAAAATGGGCCAAAGACATTAAATGACACTTCACCAAAGTTAGTATACAGATGGCAAATAAGCATATGAAGAAATGTTCCACATCATATGTCATCAGGAAAATGCAAATTGAAACAACAGTAAGATACCACTACAAATCTGTTAGGATGACCTTTCAGAACACTGACAATACCAAATGCTGGCAAGGATGTGGAAACTCAGAAACTCTCATTAATTGCTGGTGGGAATGCAAAATTATGCAGCAACTTTGGAAGATAGTTTGGCAGCTTCTTACATGACAAAACACATTTTTGCCATACAATACAGCAACCATGATCCGTGGTATTTACCCAAAGGAATTGAAAATTTATGTCCACACAAGAAGTTATACATGGATGTTTATAGCAGCTTTGTTTATAATTTTCAACACTTGGAGGAAACCAAGATGTCCTTAAGAGGGTGAATAATAAATGAACTGTGGTACATCCAGACAGTGGGATATTATTCAGTATTAAAAAGAAATGAGGTAACAAACTATAAAGTGACACAGAGGAAACTTAAATTCATATTGCTAGGTGAAAGAATCCAGTCTGAAAAGGCTACATATGATTGGATGATTCCAACTACATTACCTTCTGGAAAAAGCAAAACTGTGGACAAGTAAAAAGATCAGTGACTGTCAGGGGTTAGGAAACAGGAAGGGTTGACTAGGTAGAGTTCAGAGGATTTTTAGGACAGTTAAAATATGCTGTATGGCAATATTATGGTGCATATATGTTGTTATACATTTGTCCCAATTCATAGAATGTATAACACTAAGAGTTCAAGAGTGAACCCTAATGCCAACTATGGACTTTAGGTGATAATGATGTGTCAATATTTGTTCAGAAACTGTAATAAATGTACCACTCTGGTGGAATATGTTGATAATGGGGGATAGTATGTATGTGTGAGGGCATGCGGTATATGGGAAACTTCTGTACCTTCTCTTCAATTTTGTTGTAAACCTAAAACTGCTCTAAAATTATTTTTTAAATAATGTCTTTAAAAATTATTTTTAAATATTGAGGTGAGTAATACTCTTACTTAATAAAGTTAGAAGTTTAAATATAAAATAACTTGTAGGATCTGAGTGGACAGTTTTCTCTTTTCTAAAGTAATTTAAAGTGGTCATTTTATTTTTTCTGTCCTTTACTCTTTCTAAAAGAGATGTCAGTAATAACTTGCATCATCCTTTCTTCCATATGTAAAGTGTCTGTTTTATTTGGCTGCTTCCATGGTGTTTTTTCCATGCTCGCTTTTCAGCAGGTGGATTATGATGGGACTATGTGCGCTTTTCTTTATATTTCTAATGCTTGAGGCTTTCTGAGATTATTTAAAGTGAAAGGTGGTGTTTTACAGTATATCTTGCAAATTGTCAAATGTAATTTCATTTGCTATTTCCTTCTCCCTCATTTTCTTACTTCAGGATCCCAGTCAGATGTACGATAAATTATTTGACATTGACCCTTAGGCTTTGTTCATTTGTCCCCATTTCTTCACTATTCTACAGACTGGATTATTCCTAGTAATTTGTCTCCAAGTCTTCTGATTTTCTCTTCTACAATCTCCTATATGCTGTTAAATACCTCCAGTGAAATTTTTCTATTTCATTTTCTTTGAGTTTAGAATTTTGATTTGATTACTTTTATTAGTTTCTGACTGTCTGCTGAGATCCCTATCTAGTCACTCATTAATTAGTTGACTATATTTTCTTTAATTTTTAAAATATATTTACACAAGCTTTTAAAAAGATTTGGTCTTATAAATTGAACATCCCAGCCATTTCAGGGTTAGTTTTCCTTGAATGCTATTTTTCCTGAACATGGATCACATTTCTGCTTGTGTACTGGCTATTGTGGATAATACATTATAGAGACGCCAGATTCTGTTACCTTCTCTCTGAAGTGTTGTTTTTTTTTTATTTTTCTAATAGTCCAATTACTGGATGATCACCTTGAAATTGTACAGGCTTTTTCGTATGCTTTGTGAAAGTCAGTTTGTAGAATCCCAGTATTCCTCAACCACTTCAAACTTGGTAGGTCTCAAACTCCAAAGCACTGATCTCTTTAAGTCTTGGTTTTAAACTTTGTTAAGGTAAGTATAGAGAAGTCTTTACTATATGGTGTGGTCCTCACTCATAAGTTGGCTCTTTTTGTGTCTCTGTGGAATGCCTAAGGTCTTAATAAGGTGTTAGCGATCTCTCTCCACTCTGGCCGGGCTAGATCCCCAAAATCTGCCGGTTCTCCTTACCTCCATGAGCTCAACTTCACTCTCAACCCAGAAGCAACTGTTTTCTGAAAATTCAGTCACGTATATATGCAGCACAGTCCTCAAGCAAGGATGCGTGAGGGACTCTCATACTTCCTTCTGCACAATGTATTTTTCTCTAGTGTATGGCACCAGACATTCCAGTTACAGCAGTTGTTCCAAACTCTAATCAAAACTGAGCAGGTTGTATTTGCCCTTCATTGACTTAGCTTCATGCACGGTAAATGTTGATTTGGCTAGGGGAGACATGAGGCTTACTTTGTGAGTTTTTACTCTGTTAAAGATCAGAGACTTGTGCCGCTTGTTGATAGCACTTACACAGTGTCTAAGACAGAGAAATGGCTCAATAATTATACTGTGAGTGAATAAAGAAAGAACTTGTTTCATATATTTTGCCCAGCTTTATGATTGCCTGCCGTAAGATAGCTGGTCCAGTACCAGTAACTTCATAATATCCAGACCTGGTAATCCTCTTGATAAATCCTTAATCTTTGCTACAGCCCATCCCTCAGGGTCATTGTCTTTTCTCTCCCTTGCACTAAGTCATAAATCAAACTCAGATTATTTTACTTGTGTTTTCCAAAGATAAGATTATAGAATTTACTGGACCTTGGGAATAGAGGAGATTTTACATTACAGAAATATAAATATTTAAAATTCCTTATTAGACACTTTTGTGATTTAGCAGAATTTTGGTCACTCTGTCCCTGAAAAATTCTGCCTGGTCATTTTTCTGCCTAGTCTTCAGCCTCCCCACCTGTGATTTACCTTCTTCACACTTCCATCTCTATACTTCACCTTTCTCTACTTTCACACTCCCAAATTTATCTTCATTTTTTTTAAGCATAGAAGCTTAGCTATTAGTTTCCTTTTGCAGTTTATTTTCACAGTATAGCTTCAGGGTCTCATTTTCCACATCAAAGAAACATAATTTCCTAAACAGTATTTCCTTCCTAAGAAGAATTTTGATGCTAGTTGAAAAAATAATATCTATAAATGCACATTTACAGAAATTCAAAAATACACATATTCAAACATATTATGCAAGTACTCATTTACGTCATTTATTCATTTGGTAGGCATTTATTGACAGCTTTCTACATTTCATGTGCTGGAGTTTAAAAGACTCAGAATGTATAGTCCATTCTCTCCATGAACTCCCTGTTTAAGTGTTAGAAGTCAAATCAGCAAAACCAACATATCATTATGGCTAATGTGCACACACGGTTTGCTATGGGAACAGAGAAGGGATAGTAACTCAGAAAAAAGAATTGTGACTCAGTTTCATAGAGCACAGAGTGATCTGAACTCAAATGTCTATTTCTCTACTATGCTTCCCTTGACCCTCAAACTATATAGCCATGCAACTTGCTATCAACACTCTTTGTATTTTTTCTTTCATAATTTTAATGACATTAATATATGTGTCTCTGCCACTAGCTAGTAAGTCCTGGAGAATTGTCTCTGGGTTCTCAGCATTTGCACAGAGTCCAGCATACAGTAAGTGTTCAATAATTGTATATTGAGTGAATAAATGAATTCATAAAAAGCTTGAAATTTTTGTGCCTTTTGATGCTTAAAACATAGATTTAGTTGGATATATATTTCTGGTAAATAATGTCTTCAAAATACACAGTCTTCCTTAGTTTTTTTAGTGTTCATGATTAATTCTCCTAAGAATCAAATATATTTTCTTTGCTTTTCTTGATATTTTACAGATAACATTAAGGTCTTAATTTTTACACAGAGTTCTGTAAAAATATATGCATCCTTTATTTTTAGATGTTTGTGTGTATGATTTGAGAAAAATGTTTTACTCTTTGTGCTGTTTACTCTTTTTCAATAAGGACAGTATGGTTAAGTCTTTGAAGATGCTGTTCATTGATATATTCAGAAAAGAAATTATGTGCTCTTTTGATTGACTTAAAGGTCGTGATTGCAGCAGCAGGAGGGAAAAAAAAAAGTATTTTTAGGTGTGCTAGAAAGAAGTGTCAAAGCACCTCAGGCTGAGCAGACAGTCCAAGATAACACTCTTGCCTGATGTTAAAGACAATCTGTTCCTGCCTCTTCCCCACTCTGATTATAGCTCATGCACCCCTAAGTTTCTACTTGAAAAACTTCAATGCTTATAGTTGCATATTTAGATAAGTGAATAAGGTGACAGGAAAGCTTTTTATTTTGAAAATTATGATTGTGAGCGCTCACTGTCTGCTTCTATTACAAATTTAATGTTTAATTGTTCAAAACCTGTTTAGAGAACCGCATATCTTGAAAGATTTATAATGGCATATAGAATTGTCAGCAGGAAGAAACACCAGGACTCATTAGTTAGTTCCCCAACTTCTTGGTAGGACTGGATCCAAGCCTACCCCAACATATGGATAGCCTTAGGAAAGAAGACTCCTCAGCTTGTTTTTGTACCTAGTTCAGTGCCTTGAAATGTTATGTTGTCACAAGAAGCCTCTACGGGAAGTCACAATATCTGACTTCTATTTTTAATACAGCAATGTGCTCCATAGTGTTATGTTTACAAAACCTACCTACATTTTTGTATGTCTATAGTGACAATAGTTGGATACAAGCTTAAAATCCCATTCACAAAAGTGAATTTGGAAGCAAAACATCACTTTCCCCCTTGTGAAACACAACTCTGAAAGGTACAAACCAAAAATAGCAAATCCATTTAAAAGTAGGACACTATGATAATCCATTGATTTCATTTTCATAATTCTTCTCAGTGTTGGTATTCAAAGTTTTTTTATTTTCAAAAATTAGAGATTCTAAGATTGAAAAGTAATTTCAAACTATAAATAATATTTCTGTTCCTTGTAGGAGGGGATTCATTATACATTTGGGCACCTAGAAGGAGAAGAAATGCCTGGAAACGTGAGAAGAAATAAATTAACAAATACAAAATATTGTTGGTGCCTAACTCTTTAAGGAATAAAAGTTGATTTTGAACCACCACATACCCTTTCTTGTTCACAGAAGAGTTTGAGATGTTCATTACAGATTGCATTACTCAGCACCATCCTAGTGTTTCTGAGTCAAAAATCTCGAGAATAGGACTTGTAAAGCTGTAATTGTCACAAACATCTCAAGCTGTACCTTTGCACCTGGCTCAGGGACCATATTTAGAAAATACTGTATCTGGTTAGTATGAGTAAGGAAGGGACATTGGTTTTTTGCAGCTATAACAGAAAGCATACACACACACACACACACACACACACACACACACATACACACATGCATATATAATGCAATAAATACTTTTAAGGAGCCCCATCACCCCAATATCCCTCACAAGTATAAGGGGCAAGCCCATTACACTTGCCCTCCTGTGATACTTCATCCCTGGCATTTCTATTTGCTAACTATGCTTCCTGATATTTAAACTTTGGTTATATCTATAAAGCTGCTACTTAAGCTCATTTTCATTCTCTTCAAAACATGGAATATTATCTTTTTTTCAAGCTTTATTGAGGTATAATTGGCAAATAAATAATTGTATACATTCAAAGTATACAATGTGACATTTTGATTTATGTATATATTGCAAAAAGATTTCCAACAAGCTGATTGACATATTTAACACCTCACCCAGTGACCTTTTTCTTCAAGACTTATCTCTTGAGTATATTCATCTTGCTTAATTAAAACTTTAGGCCCATGAATTAGTAACTCTCCTGTTTCCTGTTTCCCTATTCCCTATAATCAAGAGAGATACATTGTACACTTAAAAAAATTGTTGACAGGGTAGATCTCATGTTAAGTATTCTTAGCACAATAAGATAAAACTATAAAAGAAACAATAAATGGCTTAGAAAGGTAGCTCCTTCAGTAGGATGTAAACCTTTAGTACTCTTGTGTAATACTACGGAAAAGACCACAGATTATTCTGCCCCCCTGAGTCCTTGCCCATTATACACCCCTCACACTCTGAGTCCCGTCTTGGTGATGCGCCTTGCTTTAGTCAGTGGTTTATAGCAAATGCGATACAATAAGGTGCTTGAAAGTGTTTATACCCTTACTGCTATTGGAATCCTATGACTACCATGTGGAATGCCTGAGAGAGTCAACTATGGAATAAGTCACCTGCATTCTAGTCATTCCTCTGACCCCATACCAACAGCTAGCTTCCAAATGCTACACATGTGAATGAGGCCTTCTTAGGCCACCCAGCTGTTAGGACATCCTTGAGTAAAGTGGCTTTGTACATTTAGGGTGAAATTTCAATACTGTGTCATTAGATTCGTTAATTTATAGATTTAAATAATTAAGATGTTCAAATAATGAAAGTTTCATGAGACTAATTATTGAGGTATTTTTAAAAAACAGACATAATGGGTTTTTTTGGTTTCTGTTTGTGAAGTATTTTGACAACCTGCTGTGGTTTTATTTGTAATTAAATAATTTATATATTTAAATTAAATAATTGATCATCCTGTAGTAAAATTCCTAAAATCTCCAACCAGGGAATATAAATGCTTGTAAAACAAATGATATGTATGACAAAGATGCCTACTTATGCCTATTTCCTTAAATACCTACATAAAAAGTTTATGCATATGCTACATGAGATGAACATAGAAAATGAGTATATTCATAAATAATAAAGGTTTTAAAATGTGTTCAAGAATATAATTACTAAGATAATTCAAGAGAGGATATTTTCTATATTGTGTGAATATTATGTAGCTATGCATATTATATATTAATATATTTCAAAACTCTTAAAATTGACTTTACAGTTAATACCACATCATCACCAAAACCTAAATTTAGTAGTAAAAACAAGGTAATCCCACTGAATGGATCTCTAAATGCCTAAGTTATTGTGCTGTTGTAAATTAGGCACTCTGGGCATTTAGTTTGCTGAAGTAGTTGTAAATGCAGGTACCTAACATGCTTAATGTTCAAACACGTAATTCTTAGGTGCTTGGGGAAATAAGTTAATTAGAAGAAAATATGATTTTGCATAAAGGTGCATGTGTATTTGTGCATTACTATATCAGACACATTAATAATAAATGGGGGAATATTATTTTGTTTACTTACATACATATTTTTGTGTTTGTATCTTGTACATAAAAGCATAAACACATCATATGACCTCTCTCTGGCACTTACTGAAAAACTTACCAGTCCATAAACATTTATTTACATTGACCTGAGCTTGTCTAGTTCATCTGTCAAATCCATTTCCTTTTATGTAACACACCTACTATAAATCCCATGAAAACATTACGAGTATGGGTGTTAATATATGTACAGAACAAATTATAGAGTAACTATTACTTCCACATACCAAAGAAAAGTATTACAATAACTTTTCGTTTTTTAAATAAATCAACTCTCCCTCTGGCTCCATGAAACTTTAATTCACATTGGGATAAGTGGACACCTGTTTATTTACAAAGCTTTCAGTCATGGAGACACAGATTCAGAGACTTGAGACAAGAATAAAATAAGTTAGACGGCCTCCTTTTAAATCCAACTGTGATTTTCATCTTTGTCACAAAATAAGCACAACATTTGGCAAGACTGGAAGCTTCGACTGCACACAGGTCCAAGTTGGCATAGAATCACCTTGACAGGCTCTCAGATCAGCAAGAACTCTCAACTGTGAAAGGGTCCGTTTGCTAAATTTAACTTTTCCTTGGTAAAATAAATGAGATGCTCCTAAGGAGAAGAAATAGTCTCAGGATCAAGGAGAAGAGGCATCAGGCTCAGTCACCTCATCAGGTATGTAAGATATCAAGGTAGGTTAACAACAGCCTGTGCAAGAGAAATGCAAAGTGTATACAAATTAGGATAGTCCTGAAAATTTGGGAAGATAAATGATTGACTTTGCTTTGTTTTCCCTCCAGGACCATATCATTTCCATTTTCTTTGGAGGCAGCTGAGTCTAACAGTCAGAGTAAGGAAGACAGATAATTATGTTGTGTCTCGGTGTTTGCAATTCTGGGTCTGAAGGCTATTTTCAATGTTAGGTTTTATGATTAGAAGGGACTCCAACTTTCTTTTGCTTAAATTGAATATCTTCCTAAAACAGAGCCCAAAGAAATACATGTAATGAAAAAGTTGCAGTGCTGACAAGCTGTGACACTACCAGGCTGAGTCATGCACACAGCTTGAACTTTGAAGTCAAGAACGTTTTTGTCTTTATTTAGGTTCACGATTTGCACAGAGGGCTATATCTTTTCCCACGTCACACAAAACATGTTGGCAAAACCTTGATGAGATGCTGTAGCATAAGTGTGGTTATTTTAGGAATCGCCTTGGCTCACTGTAGGGTGAACCAAGCTGTCAAGTGGTATAAGAAAGTTACTTAACTAAAGAGTGTCTTAGTAAATTAAATATTGATGAAAAAGAGCCCTTAATCTCCTTCTGCCTCTGGACGGGCATTTGCTTAATTTCAGCTTTATTTACTTAAATTCTCAGTCCCCCTATTTTTATTAGATAGCAGAAACAGAGAAGTTTATTATCTTGCCAGAGACAGACTTCTGTGCCACATGATGTAAATTGTTCCCTTTTTTCTGGACAAACATAGTTTATTACATACTCATAGCTTTAATATATGTAATCAGTCTACATTGATGGAACTTTTCCAAAGTTTCATTCCTGTATCAACACAACATAAAATACCGTTTTGCTAAGTTGAAATGCTGTGCCATTCTACAGTGAAAGTCTTATGTGTTTTACTAGCTGGGATTTTCCCCTTGTTCATTTTACTTTTAGGAATGCAATAGTCAGAGAACGTTAGGAAACTACTGTTCTAAACTGTTCATTTTACATTTGAGGAAACAACTCCCAACATGTAGAGAAATTTATCCTAACTCATGCAGCTAGTCAGTAAAGGACTTCATATCAGAAATTAATGTTCGTGGCTCCTGGTGCTTTTCTTCTGATAAACAGGCTCCCTAGAAGTTTTCAAAGCTTTTTTAGTTCCCTCTTTATTCCCCATATCAAAAACTGGAGGCTTTCCCTATTTATCATCCACTGACCATATATGAAACACCCTGCTAAAAAGTGACAGTGTTAAGGAATGGTAAATACCTAATATTGCTATCTCCAGGCCTATTGCCTTTCAGGAGGTGACTTAGACACTGATGCTACAGTTTTACATTGTCACATTTTTAATTTGAGAGTCCTATTCAAAAGAAGAAAAATAGAGAAAAATTTGAATATGAATGTTCAATATTGTGATTTTTAAACTTTATTCATCTTAATGTATTTTTCTTTTTAAAAATATATGTTTTTTAATTTAATTCATTTTAAACTTGAAAAAAATCTCTAAAATATGCTGAAAAGACAATAGAAAATATATTCCACAAGATTTTTTTTTCCATTCTGTGAAAATATAGCACTCCAAAAGGACTGAGATTTCCCTGGATATTGTAAAATAGTCTCATAATTGTACCCATTATCTCTAGTTTTTGTTCTCCTAAGGAGAAGAAAGGCCCAAATCGATTTCTCCCTGCACTATTATATTCTAACTTTCTTAGTCTCAACATCCCAAAATCTTTACACAGTCAAATCCTCTTTATTTCAAATGTTGGAACATCCAGAAGATTTGGAAGCACAGATGAGGCAGCGGATCTAGGGAGCTCCCTCTCCACCTTACACATTTCAATCACCCCAAATTTTCAAAGGACTCTTGAATTTTGCCAAGGATGGGCCTAGGTAGAACTTAATCCTTTGACCACATAGAATATGCCTTTTTCTCGTTTTCTTCCAAGCGCTCCAGTCTTCATAATAGATCCTCAACTCACCAGAAAAACATTCTGATCCTCAGTCTTACCCTGATTTTAGGCATTTTCTTCAGTGGTGATCAGGAAATTTCAGACAGCTTGACATCAGGCTTGCTGTTAATTTTGCAACATTGTTACTGGATCACCTCAACATACAAGGTAAGGTGTCACTTTCAGGCCCTCAAACAGTAGAACCAGTAGTAAGCAACAGTAGACCTAGTAGTAAGCAACTATACTTAAGGAGAAAGCACCAACATATGTAAGAGAAACGATTAGGTTTACCAGAAGTATTATTTGAAGCCAGCGCTGTCCAATCAGTAGATGATGGAAATGTTCTCATCTGTGCTGTTCAATATGATAAACATGGCTATTAAGCACTTAAAATGCAGCCAATGCAACTAAAAACTGAATTCTAAATTTTATTTAATTTTAATTCATTAATCTTTAAAATTTAGATAGTCATATGTGGCCAGTTATACCATACTGAATATTATAGTTTCAGACAATACGTTTTTACACTAGCAATATGATTTTTTTAAAACTTTAAAAAACTTTTGTTAATTAAGGCACTCTTTTGTGTTCCAGAAATAATAATAAAGGCAAAATTCAATATAAGATCTCAAGGTAAATTTGCAAATATTTTATGATTTTATAATTGCTATTTTTTTCTGAACTTCTTTTTTTTTGTCTAAAAATACAGTCTATTCTCACTTGATTTTTTTCTTCCCCTTTATTTCCCGTGCAGAATGCTACTTTCTACAATAGTAAAGGAATTGAGAACTTTTAATTTGGGCATTTAAAGCAGCATCTGTTAGAATAAAAGTACAGTACATAATAACCAGGGCCACATAAATTATGTACTACATAAGCCAAATTAAACTGGAAAATTGTCTAGGAGTAAAGGGTCAGCTCTAATAAGCTGAACATAATCTCCTGTATTCTATCCCTAAAGAAAATTAAATTTTAATTATCCTGAGAGCTCACTGTTCAGGAATGTCACTCTAAGTAATCATGTAAATGACAGTTAAACTCCGGAATAGAGTTAAAAGTTAAATATTATCTGCAATTGCCCTTTAAGCCCAGAGTTTGCTAGTTGCTTCAGGCAAACTATTAAGAATATCAGATATTGACAAGTTAAACCAAGATGCAAGACGAGTCCTCATGTCTGCAAAATGAGTCACTGCTGAATGCCTTATTGAGTCACATTCTTGCAGAACATTACACTAAAAAGTATTTTAGACACTTTAGAATTTACATTGTCTCCACTTGTATAAGTTTCAGACAATACCCTTCATACTGGGAAATTTATGTCAAAGGCTTAAGCTACTTCTTTAAAACTAAGCTTGTAGAGCCAGTGAGAAAGAGATTGAGAGAGACAGAGAGAAAGAGCTCCTGCTGGCAAAGTGATGAGATGATTATCTCTGGGCCTGAACTTCCAGATGTGGAGTTCCCAAGCTTTCCTAACACGGATATTGGTGGGAGGCAGAGGTGGAGGTGGGGCAGGGGGCAGGGTCAATCTCTTCTCTATACACTATTAACATATAAGAAAAATTTGGATTTTTCAGGTTGAGGGTGGGTGGAGGTGAATTTTTAAAAAGTTCTAGAATTTGTTATTACCATTTTTCACCAAATCTTTTAACTAACTTGAATAATGCTTTTCTGGCACTGTGGTTTTATGTATTTAAGAGAAGGAGAGCAGGTATGACATGTATATTGTCACTGAGCTTTATAAGAAGCATTATTGAAAAAAATAGTAATTGATTGATCAGAATAAAAACAATAAGTCTTTATGTCAAGAATACATAAAAAGAGAGACTGGGAAGACAACAAGGCCAATAAAGTTATTTTATAAATGGGGAAAATTATATTACTTTAAAATGATATATTGATCTAAATGCAAAGTTTCATAAAGTTATAAATTAAAATTAAGGAATTACTAAAAATGAGATATAACATGTAAAGATGTAATTAGTAAAATAACATTGCTTTGACTTGGAATTAGTGACTATGTTTCGAAGTTGGATGCAAATAAAGAAAAATATCTTTAAAATATAATAAATATAAAGGACTCTACATATGTACCACATTACTATTAGCAGATGATTTGAGATTTGAGACATTAAACTTGGAAGAAGAAAACCTTTGCAGAGTGAGACAAACCAAGTTCTCTACTGGTAGCCCTGTGATCCACTCTCAGCAGCAGGAAGGTGGTTGTGCTCAGCATGGGTCCTTGCATTAGCTGTGATTTCAGACTGCTTCTCACCAAAAACTTTGAGGAAAAAGGAACCAAATGACAAAATAAGAAATTGGATTGTCTTAAATAATTAGAACATCTTAAGAAAAGGGCAAAATGACTATATGAATGAAATAGCATCACATGATCTTCAAATACATCATTTGGCTACGACTCTCACTCTACAGCAAAACTTATGTCTATCTGATGGAAAATACTTTTTTCAGAGTTTAAATTATGGTTATTTGAAATAAATCATTTCATATTCTAAATAGTCCATTTTTTCTAGGTATTGAATTACTTTTCTTTTCCATTGAATTTATAGGAGTCATTTAACTCTCTATATTAAGAACTCTATATTTGGCCAAAAGTTGACCAAAATATTTATAGAAATGATTTTATCATATATATTTAAGAGATGTGAAAAAATATTTTCTAAATTTCTGAGCTTTAAATTGAGAAAAGCCACTACAGAGAAGATATTCTCTGTGTAATTTTATGAATTAGTTGATAAGTTGGAATATAACTATAGTCTTTCTATATGTAGCTATAAAAATATTACTATAGTATAACTAGATTAATGTCTAGTTTGGGTTGGGAAGTGAGATAGAAATGGGACCATAGTATTTACATTTTGATTTAAGAGAACTAGACTTACCTTTCAAAAATGTAGTGATTAGAATCCTAAACTCTGTGTGGGGTTCAATACAGATTGCATTAGATTTGAACCCTTGCTCTTCCTGGTACATAGCCCTCTCTATGCCAGAAATATCTCATTTTAATTTGGTGATAATAATGACATTCATTTCATAGAACTGTTAAGAGCGTGAAATGAGTTGAATTATTGCTCTTTATTTCCAAAGCCCTTAGCTCAATTTCTTGCCCACAGTATCTGCTATGTAACTGTTATTTTCTTAATCTACCACTTTTCTGTTCTTTTCTCTTTTCCTTTCTTTCTTTTGTTTTGTTTTTGTTTTCTTTTCTTTTTGTTTTGTTTTGTTTTCTCTGTTTTTGTTTTTAACCAGATATTTACCTAACTAAATTATCTGGCTAGGAAAGCAAACTTGAACTTCACCTTTAAAACATGCAGCTCCCCAACTGTACCCCAATTTCATGCCTAGAACAAAAGCCTAAATTGATTAACTAAATTCAAAATTAGGCACACTACCTAGTTGCACGCTTGACAACCCTTCAGATCTGAGCATGCTAAAGTAGCACAATCCATATTGTTCTCTTTAATATATTTAGCTGTTTTTTTCTTCTCTTCAATACTGCTGACATTTGCATCACGTCAAAGTGAGGGTCACTACTGATCAGCAGCCTAAGTGTAAATAATGCTGTAAATAATAATGCAAATGACACTTCCTGAGAATAATCTACTTCTTTATCCAGGTCCCAAATTTTTCCTTTTTTTGGTTTTAATGGCTTTCTGAAATAGGTAATATCAATTGGATGAGAAACTAATTGAACTGAAATATTACCTCTGAAGTAAGAATGTGACATTACATAATGCTTTTGCCAAGCATCACTGAGGAGAATTTATAAGGGAAATTTACTTCTTAACATTGATTTCTGGCAATTAGGCCATATTTTTACTTTAATTGTGTTTTTTTTCAAAGGCATAGTAGAGGAAATACCATATTTGCCAATGTAGCTTTCTTGTTTTGGATAATTACTAGCAATTAAAAATAACTAAGCTAAGATCTAAACTCACTTTGCTGACAAAGCATGCACACAGTGGAGACAGGGTTCCAAATATTGAGTTCCCATCCTTCTTTCTGAGATGCACTATTTTCAAAGAAAGATTTTTTTTAAAGTAATGCTTGGATGTCCAAATCATTTGAGTGTCTTTTTCCAGACCTGAAGAAGCAGCATTTTTTAGTACACGCATGGGAAAACTTTGCCATTAAGGTCAAATGAAGGCCTCATCCTAAATTCATCCCATTCTCAGAAAGTTTATTGTCCATCCTAATTCCCTCATTAAAAGTAAAAAATCTAACAACACTCACCTGTGAAAGACAGTCCTCAGTTTTACAATCCTGCTGTAGTCATTATGCTTATAATTTCTTATATCTTTCTCAGAAGATTTCAGAAGACAAGCTTTCTGATATTTCTCTTCATCAACTTGGTTTTCTTCTGTATCCCTGAAAAGAGTGAATAATAATTTAAAAAACAGTGTATTAACTGCTGACAGCAAAACTTATTGAAAAATCACAATGAAAGAAGTAGATGGGAGATCTTTATAATTGATAATATGAAAAACCCAAAAGGTAATAATTCAGAAATAGCTGGATTTAGAGCCCCCAAAACCATGTCTAGCACTCACTTTTTAATCTCTCTGATGTATTTTTTCTGTGATACTTAGCTAGACAAGCTTAATAATCTTTTGCACTAGATTCTCCTTTTAGGCTTGAAATATTATTTTTCCCCTTGATCTTGGCAGCTGTGTCTCTTTCTAGGAGTTGTGCCCACCTGAGAAGATCCACCTTCCCAAGGACAAATTCTTTCCTTGGGGGCAGCCAGCATCTGAGAAAATCCCTGCCTCCCTACCCTTCCAGGGGTGATTTCTGTGGAGCCACCAAGTTCCAGAGCTCCACAGGATCAACTGAGGGCTTTGGGACTCATCCAAACCCTATCCTCCCTCTGCCTGATTCTCATTCTTTTTCCCCCTTTTAATTGCTGATTTTGAGAGCTTCCCAGTAAACTTTCTAAACACAAATTTCTGCTCAAAGTCTGTTTTCCAGGTAATGCAACCTGGGACATAGTTCCAGATTTTTATCATCCTACCTTCACTCAACCTCAGCAGAAATAGAGCTTTTCTTTTGTTCAAATAAAACCTAGTAATCCCCATTAGACTTGTTATGTTAATTCAGTCACAGGGTCTTAAAATTTAAGAGGAGGTACTGAGATATGTCTATACATATCTATAATACATTTAAATGTGGAAATGGTTATTTTGAGAGATTCTGAAGTTAGAATTGATACCTCTTATCATTTCTAACACTCTGCTCAGGCATCTCATCAACATACAAAGCTTCCTTCCTCATATGTCAACCAAAGATTTCTAACGTGGACATTCAGTCCAAAACTCTCTTCTAACTCTAAATATTTGATTAATTTTTATCTCTGTTTAAAACTCTATAAATAGTTCATCGGGTAAAAGCTAAACCATCACCCATGACATAAACATATGCACCCACACAAATATGCACACTTGTGCACTAATACACATTCACCCAATATGCATACACAGACCTTCAGAGCACTAACTCATCCTCAGACTTCAACATCACATACTCATAGGATCTTCCCCTGACCCACACAAAACTAGGTTAGATATTACTATTGTGGCAGCATGACAGCATCAGCAATTTTTTTCAGAGAACTTGTTTATAATTCAGAGTAATCGCTTCATGGTGACATGCTGGGATAAAAGCACATGAAGTTTGAGACTCTCTTTTGCTCATTATTATATCCTTTACACTAGTCATAGGCTTAAGACATGCAGTAGTGCTTGAATAAATAATGAATGATTAAAAGAAGGTAAGAATTATACAAAATATAATCTGATATCAAAGGTTAGAGAGGTTCATTCACTCCTGACTTGAGTGGTTATAAAAAGGCTATGGAAAAGGTAACAGTGTGGGCTGGGTGTGGTGACTCATGCCTGTAATCCCAGCGATTTGGGAGCCTGAGGTGGGTGGATCATTTGAGGCCAAGAGTTTGAGATCAGCCTGGCCAACATGGCAAAACCCTGTCTCTACTAAAAATATACAAAAATTAGCTGGGCGTGGTGGTGCATGCCTGTAATCCCAGCTACTTGGGAGGCTGAGGCATGAGAATCACTTTAATCTGGGAGGCAGCAGCTGCAGTGAGCTAAGATCATGCCACTTCACTCCAACCTGGGTGACAGAGTGAGACTCTGTCTTAAAAAAAAAAAAAAGTAACAATGTAAACATATCTTTAAAAGATGTTGCGAATTTTGACAGACATAAATAAGGTATATTTCAAATTAACCAATGTTTGGTTTAGCAAAAACTAAAAGTAATACAACAAATTAGTGAAAGGGAAATAGGAGTAATTCTCAGTTTCAAACCATATCTTCCTTCAAAGGAATTTTTAAAAGCAATCATAAGCAAAAATAACAAAACTGAAGGCATGATGCTACCCAACTTCAAACTATACTACAGGCTTGTAGTAACCAAAACAGCATGATACTGGTACAAAAAATCGACACATAAACTAATGGAATAGAATAGACAGCCTAGAAATAAAGCTGCATACCTACAACTATCTGATCTTCAACAAAGTTGACAAAAATAAGCAATGGGGAAACCACTCCCTATTCAATAAATGGTGCTGGGATAATTGGCTAGCCATATGAAGAAGACTGAAACTGGACTCCTTCCTTACATCATATACAAAAATTAACACAATATGGGTTAAAGACTTAAATTTAAAACCTGAAACTCTAAAAACACAGGAAGACAACCAAGGCAATACCATTCTGAACATAGGAATGGGCAAAGATTTTATGACGAAGATGCCAAAAACAATTGCAATAAAAACTGATATATAGGATCTAATTAAACTAAAGGTTTTATGACAAAGATGCTGAAAGCAATTGTAAGCAAAAATTGAAAACATGGAATCTAATTAAATCAACTAAATGGCTTCTGCATATCCAAATAAACTATCAATGGAGTAACAGACAGTCTACAGAATAAGAGAAAAATTTTGCAAACTACGCATCTGACAAACATCCAATATCCAGCCTCTATGAGGAACATAAACAAGTTTACAAGAAAAAAAATCAGAAAGTGGGCCAAAGACTTGAACAGACACTTCTCAAAAGAAAACATACATGTGGCCAACAAGCATATTAAAAAAAAAGCTCAATATCACTGGTCATTCATTAAGAGAAATGCAAATCAAAACCACAATGAGATACTATCACAGACCAGTCAGAATAGCTATTATGAAAAAGTCAAAAAATAACAGATGCTGGTTAGGTTGTGGAGAAAAAGGGACACTTATACACTGTTGAGGGATGTGTAGATTAGTTCAACCATTGTGGAAAACAGTGTGGTGAATCTTCAAACGCCTAAAAACAGAACTACCATTCGACCCAGCAATCTCATTAGTGAGTATATACCCAAAGAAATGTAAATCATTCTACCATAAAGACCCATGCACTGGTATGTTCATTGCAGCACTATTCACAAAAGCAAAGACATGGAATCAACCTAAATGCCCATCACTGACAGACTGGATAAAGAAAATATACACCATGGAATACTATGCAGCTATGCAGCCATAAAAGGTAATGAGATCATGTCCTTTGCAGGGAAATGGATGGAGCTGGAAACCATTTTCCTTAGCAAACTAATGCAAAAATAGAAAATCAAATACCACATGTTGTCACTTACAAGTGGTAGCTAAATAATGAGAATATATGGACACAAAGAAGGAAACAACAGACACCAGGGCCTCCTGGAGGGTGAGGGTGGGAAGAGTGCAAAGATCAGGAAAAATAACTAATGGGTACTAGGCTTAATAACTGGGTGACAAAATAATCTGTACAGCAACCGCCCATTACATGAGTTTACCTATATTACAGACCTGCACATGTACCCCTGAACTTTAAATAAAAATTAAAAAAGAAAAGAAAAGCTAACCTAAGGAAGACAAAAAAGCATAATTTTGTTGTCATGGAAATTGAGAATTAAGTTGAAGACGCCCCTCGTTGACATAAGATGAATGAATTTGTTAGTAATCTAGAGATAGTTCTTAATGAAATAAATATTTAACTGATAGACAACCATAAACTAGATCTAGAATATTTGAGTTGAAGTAGGTTCCATGATTATCTAAAACCACTCTTTAATTAGAAAGATGAAGATGAGATCTAGCTTGTTGAAGAGACACACTCAAATTTGGATGAATGATAACATTGAGACTAGAACTCAGGACTCCTCATTTTCTGTTAAGTTCAATTAGGGAAAAAATACTCCATAAGAAAATATTGTTCAAATTCTTTCCAATGATAAGTTCATATAACAGTAATACTCGGCAATAAAATGGAACAACTTTCTGCTCATACAATATCACAAATAAATCTCAAAATATTATGCTGAACAATAGAAAACAGATACAAAATTATAAATACTATATGTTTTTTAATAGAAAGTTTTAAAACAGTCAAATAAATTTATAATAATGGAAATGAAAACAGTCACATGTAAGGTTAGGGTGGAGAATTTACTGAAGAAGGGAAGTAGAGAAATTTTCAGGGTAATAAAATTTTATACAGCTTGACTGGGATAGTGTTATGTGGAACTATACATTTATTTAAATTTATTGAAATGAAAGTTTAAAATACATAAATCATATCTCAATTAAAAATATCTTCTTGCCATAATTATGTAATGCATTAATTTTATTTAAATAAGGCAAAATAATTGAACTGATTGACTGTAAGAAGTATAGCCAAATATCATTCAGATAAATGACATATAGATACATAGACACAGTATATATGAATATATACATTTATAATAATCATTTCTGTACTTCTAGTTCACATTGAGTATAACATTATTATAAGCAGTGGCCCATATTGCCATGTAGCTTATTAACTATTTAAATCATAAAAGAACAAGAAACACAAGATACACTTTGTTTTCATTTTGGAATACATGACAACGTGTAAGGTTTTTCTTCAATCACTTTTCTCTCGTGTGATGAAGCACAGGCCAAAATAAGACATTCCTTCTTACTACTATGCCTGATATATTTTTATTATGTATCCAATTGATAATGGTCTCATGAAAATGTTGTGTAAATTTCTAGAATACTCATAAAATTTCTTTCTACTTCAAATATAATGTCCATACTCCTGCCCTTACTATAGCAACTCTACTCACCCACTTCCAAATGGATAATCAAATATAGGAGAAATAACAAGAGAGGAGACAGGCTCTCTTCCCATTTTTAAGAATAATAAACCCCTTCGTTTGATTTTATTATAATTGTGCCACTTTTAGATATAGTCTTTAGATCTGCCCAGACTGACGCCAATTTCAATTCCTGAGCACATCGCTACATTATTAACATTCTCAGTTGGCAAATCTTTGCTTTCCAGACCTTCTGTTTATTGTGATATTCATGAGGTTTGCCTTTTATAGTGTATTCCTTCCAGAGGCAAACAAAGCTAGATTAAAAATAAAAGACTATTAATTAGCATATTTCTAAAAGGAAAATCGTTTTGTGTTGGTTTTTAATAATCTGATGTATACAACTGTCTTCCTTTATTTCTCTGTCTCTGCTTTATTTTACCACTGTCCTGTAAAACTGATGACTGTTTACACTGATTATAACAAGAGATGAATGTGTTTTATTTTTTAAAATCTCATTTGAACATTTGAGAAAACGTTCTATCAGTTGAACATGTTTCTTTCCTTTATCAAGCTCAGTATTAGTAAGAGTATTTATCAGTTAATCACATGTAAAAAGAGGAGGTTGTGCAAGATGCCAGAATAGAAGGCTCTACCAATCATCCCATAGGCAAGGACATCAATTTAACAAGTATCTACACCCAAAAAAGCACCTTTATAAGAACTAAAAATCAAGTGAACACTTGAAGTACCTGGTTTAACTATATATTACTCAAAGAAACACCGAAGAGTTAGGCAAAACAGTGTTGCGCCTCTGACACAACTCATCCCTCATCCTCCGGCAGTGGCAGCATGGTGCAGAGAGAGAATCTGAACTCTAGGGAGAGGGAGAGCACTGAACTCATAAGGCATTGCATTGAACTCAGTGCTGCCCTGTAATAGCAGAAAGCAAAACTGGAACAAACTCAGCTGACACCTACCTATAGAGGAAACATTTAAAGCAGACCTAGCTAGAGAGCAGTCTCCCATCCTAGCAGTTGAAACTTGAGTTCCTGCAAGCATTGCCACCATGAGCTAAAGTCCTCTGGGGCCTTAAACTTGATAGGCAGTCTAGGTCACAAGAGCTGCAACTCTTGGGTAAGTCCTAGGGCTGAATTGGGCTCAGAGCCATGGTACTTGGGGGGCATACAACCTACTGAGAACCAGCCATGGTGGGTAGAGGGATGCTGGCACTATACCTCCCCCAACCCCAGGCTGCACAACTTGTGGCTCCAAAAATAACCCCTTTCCTTCTACTTGAAAAGAGTAGAGGGAAGCATAAGGAGGGCTTTGTCTTCTATCTTTGGATACCAGCTCAGCCACAATAGGATAGGACACCAGTCAGAGTCGTGAGGACCCTTTCCAGGCCCTAGCTTCCAGATGATATTTCTAGACACACCTTGGACTAGAAAGAAATTGTTGCCTTAAAGGGAAGAATACAGGCCTGGAATGATTCATCACCTGCTAAATGAAGAGCCCTTGTGCCCTGGATAACCAGCTAGTATATTGTGTGCCATGGGTGAGATTCTGAGACTTGCTGGCTTCAGGTGGGACTCGGCACATTACCAGCTACAGTGGCTATGGGGAGAGGCTCCCCCTGATTGAGAAAACAAAAGGGAAAAGTAAAGAGGAGTTTGTCTTGCACCTTAGATACCAGTTTGGCCACAGTGTGGTAGAACACAGGCTCTTGGGGTACCCAACTACAGGCCTTGGCTCGTGGATGACATTTCTGGACCTTCCCTGGGTCAGAGAGGAGCCCACTGCCCTGAAGGGTGAGTGCCAGGCCTTGCAGCATTCACCACAAGCTGATTGAAGTGTGCTTGAGCCTTAAGGGAACATTAGCAGTAATATGGCAGTACTGCCTGTGGGCCTGAGGTGTCAGTGGCCATGGAGTGAGGCCTCCTGCCATAGGAAAGGGAAAGGAAGAGTGGGAAGCACTGCATCTTATGGTTTGAGTGCCGGCTCAGCTGAAGTACAATAGAACACTAGGTAGATGTCTAAGGTGTTTGACTCTAGCCCCTGGCTTCTGGACAGCAACTCTGGACCCACTT